>NC_000006.12:4605454-4756969 GCF_000001405.40 Homo sapiens
TGAGTCACCCAATTTGTGGCACTAGGAGACTAATACAGTATTTAAAAAAAAAACAACAAGATGATTTGCAGTTAAAACATTTGGGAATCCATGAGCATTGAGTTTCCCTTTTGGAAACAGACATACACAATGTACCCTGGACTATCAGAGATTCTAAGGAAAACTCATAGTAAAGTGCTAGTTTGACCTACAGTGCACTCCAAGTTTGTGTAGCCAAAAAATACCTTGTTTGTGGCACAGCTAAATAGTGATGTTCAGTGGAGCACTAGGTGTCCCAGGAGTACAAAAACCAACAATCAAATGTATAAAGGGATTGAAGACTTTATGGAAAAGTGTGGGGAAACGGTGCCCTGGCACCACTAGCGTCCCAGAACCACAGCATGCCAGGACAGACAGAAGCCTCAGACCTCAGTTCATTTCTGCCACTCATTTTTGCACTCAGGAAACTGAGGCCTAGCTTAAAAAGCGTGTTGGCCAAAACACAAACACAGCACTAATGGTTGCATAACTGGAAGAAAAATTTATTATTAGATACTCAATTCTTCACTCAGAGTCACATGAATTTATTTCTGAATAAGCCCATCCTATAGAATTATAAACCCACACTACCTAAAAGCTGGGTTCTACCTTCCCCACAATTGAACTGAATTCCTACTCCTGCAATTGGCTTTTTAAAATTATGCATGGAGCCCGCTAGGGGAGGAATCTGAGGCCAATACATGCTCCAGCGAAGTGACAGCTCCTCAACGGCTCCCTCCAGGAGACAAGCAACCTGCCCTCAGTGCTCAGCCTGCCTGCTGGAACCCGAGACCTCTGCACTGCAGGTGCAGCACGCGTTGCTGATGCCACGCAAGTGTAGAAGGGGGTCTGTAGGAAGACCACCAGCTCTAGGGACTGCAGGGGTGGGGCCTGAGTGGGTTAGGTCACCTGGGACTGGGATGCTTGTGATTGGTCAAGGGAGTGCTGATCCTTGGAGAACTTACAAAAAAGGGAGGCAAACGAAATAGGGCAGGGGATGGGTCACTCCGAGACACTTGCTTCTCACCCCAATATCCTTACGTAAACTTTAACTTTGCTTATACATTTGCCTGATTTCCGTTTTTAAGCCACTCAGTGCCTCTTTGGAGCCAACTCACACAGGCTCTAAAGAGAAGAGTATCAAACACCCAGAAATTTTGCAAGCCAGTTGTTAAGCTATTGGCAATTTGAAATTGGCCACAGTGGGAGTATTTTTTACACCACAGATATTGGCAAATGTTACAAATCAGGGTTGCTGAAGGATTTTGGTCCATAGAGCTGACTTTCCACTGCACCAAGTCATTCTCCATTGACTTTGCTTTCCTCCAGCATGGTCTGACACGTTCCTGCCGGGATTGTGGGCAGCTGCCCCTTGCTGTCTTTCTAACATTAGCCCATGCATCTGTAATCTTTCTGTGGGAACCACTGTTCTTCTGCCCTGCCCTTTTGTAAACTCTCCCCACTTGGAACGCAAAGTGAAAATGAAGCCCTCGCTGCCAGAAACAGGGACACAGAGAAACACCTTGGAAACACTGCTCCTCCCAGTCGGCAGCACCAAAGGCTTCACAGCTCCATGTAATTTCACGCTCAACATCAAGTGATTCACAATAGCACCTTGTAACCAGAAAAGGCACAAAGCGCCATCCTCATTGCTCTGCTGTCTGCAGGAAGCAGGAGGCTCTATCTTCCAGCATTGGTGGCCGCGGCCCTTGTGCCAGGCTGCCTGCACTTGGAGCTCATCCATCCCTGGTAGGAGCACCCGGACTCCACTCCAGATGGTGGGAAGCCTGGCCAGTGGAGCGAGTTACCAGCTTCCGCCGAGTGGTGAGAACGAATGACTCTAATGTGTGTTTCCTTGGCGGCTTGACTTGCTGCTCCTTCATTCTTGACATTCGGCCAAGATCCCTCCTGATTTTCTAATGATCCCCCTGTAACAGCCTTGGAAATCTCCCACTCACCAGAACTCATGCAAACGTATGCCAGATGAACAGAAAAAGAATATGATCTAATTGTTTTTTCAGGCAAAATGTGCAGTAACCAAGAGCAGGTTAGACCTGTTGAAAATTCTTATAGGCTGGTCATTTGTGAGTCATACTTACATGACCCTGAATTGCCTTGCTTGGGGTTAATTGCATGGTTTGGCCAGCTGCCTCTATAATTGGCTCGATTTGGTTACAGAAGCCACTAAAACAATGATCTGAGGTCACTGGCTGTTTCAGACCAAGGGGCAGCAAAATTGAAAGCAAAGCGACCAGCCAAATTAACCAATAAAAAGACCAATTTGACGCTACACGGGAAATATAACCTTATATAAATCTGGGGAGAGCAATTAGTTTGAAACATTTGCAATTGTTGATATTTGACTGTTTTAATCTTTTAAAAACGGCAATTTTAAACAGCTCAGCCAAATAGTCCCCTTGGTTCTCAAGCAATCACTACTCTAACATTTCAGAATTGTCTGGGCTGGGGCTGGGGAGAAGTCAGCAGGAGAAAGAAACACATCTCTCACCATGCTTCCTGTGGTTCTGACACCTTCTTCTCAAGTACAGTTTAGTGGAAAGAGCCCTGGTTTAAGACTCAGGAGACCTAATTTTAGCCCCAATTGACTTCCTATAGGGCCTTCGACAAGCCATTTCTCCTTTAAGTCTCGTTCTGTTCAACTGAAACAATATCATAAACATTCTCGTGATGCCGAAATGAACTGACGGATGGGAACATGCTTTTTTAAAGTGAAAATTATTACACAGATAATTCATAAAGGCTACACACATTATAGTTATCAACTCCTATTGATATGTGAGTGTGTATACTCCCGCAGGAGAGAATAAACTTTGAATGCAACCATAACTTATTACCCCTTTGTTCCAGTGTCACTTCTGATAGCAAACAATGCCAAAACAGTAACAAATTGCCATTGTATTTTCCATTAGTCATCAGAGTATAAAAGATTTGATAAATAGCGAGAAAACACATTGGCTCTTTCGGGTGGGAAATCCGTGTTATTGACAGTAGCAAATTACATGTCTTTGAAAAAGATGGTGTCACGGTTCTTAGAGATTATTTGCATTGCTACTGAGACATAAGAAAACCTCAAGGAGCTTTTAAAGGCCGTGTCTGTGAGATGAATGGTCTGGTGTCCTCACCCAGCCCCCCTTGTTCCAGCATTCGTGTGACACTGCCGGGCAGCTGCCTTGGCATGAGCCTTCTCTGTCCAAGAACAGACTGCCAGGCCTGAACACGGAGAGGAGGAACAGCCTCTGGGGTATTCCCTGACTTTGGGGAGGCACGATGACCAGGCTGGGGCCTGTGCTTTGGGGGAAAGCACACAAGGAGATCGAGGGTGTTTTTTCTGTGTCCTCTGCTCCTGTCCTTGCCATTGCCTCTGCGCAGCTGCCTCCTGTTCTTTCACTCCGGTGACAGCCCGGGCAGATGCCTCCCTCCAGAGCCGCTGCCAGCCCTACTCCATGGACAGCTGTCGCCACGGCCCCAGGAGAGCAGCGTGACCACCGGCACCAGCCATGAGGAGGGCACATCTGCAGAGAATCCCCTACCCCTGGCTGCGGGCCTGAGGGCTCAGCGCCCTACTGTACAGGACGTTCCCAGCTGGCGCCACTTAACACGAGCCTCTTCTTCACTTGGTTTTTCACCTCTGAGATGTTCCGCTCTGCTGCAAGCAATAGGGTGTTTCACAGATCCATACTTGTCTTTACAATTTCCAGGCTTAGGAAATATTTTTAAATTTTATTGATGACCTTTCCAAAGTTTAAATGAGTTAGCCCTTGGATGTTAAGAGGAAATAGTATTTTAAAGACAAAGTAAAAGAATGCCAAATCTATGAGGACATTATGCTAAGTGAAATAAGCCAGTCACAAAATGACAAGTATTGCTGATTCCACCTATATAAGGTCCTAGATTAGTCAAACTCGTAGAGACTGAGAGTAGAAAGGGGATGCCAGGGACTGCAGAGTGGGGCTAGGGAAGTGGGGAGTTAGGATTTAACGTGTACAGAGTTCCAGTTCGGGAGGATGGAAAGACTTCCGGAGGTTAGGCACAGGGGCTCATGCCTATAATCTCCACACTTTCAGAGACCAAGGAAGGAGAACTGCTTGAGGCCAGGAGTTTGAAACCAGACTGGGCAACATAGTGAGATCCCATCTCTACAAAAAATTTAAAAAATTAAACAGTGTGGGGACGTGAGCCTGTAGCCCCAGCTACTCAGGAGGCTGAGGTGAGAGGATTGTTTGAACCCAGGAGGTTGAGGCCACAGTGAGCTGTAATCACACCACTCCACTCCAGTCTGGGTAACAGAGCGACACCCTATCTCAAATAAATAAATAAATCTTTTTAAAAATAAAAGAATTGGATATGATGTTAAATTTTATGTTATGTGTATATTGCCACAATTTAAAATTTTTTAAAGAATACCAAATCAAGAAGTGCTAAAGTTCATGGAATTACCTATATCAGAGGTGGTGGGAGTCAGGAGTATGGAAAAGAACCCTTCAAATGAAAAGGTTCATGATTATCGAAAACAGCTTGTCCTGTTTTTACCAACTGGAAACTTTCTCTAGGAAAGCAGCTATTCCTAATGGCATTTCTAAAATTATGCAAACACAAAACCAAAAAGAAGGCAGGCACCCAGTAAAGTTATCTAAGACTTTGGTGGGAAAATAAATAAATAAACCTGCCGCCTCACGGTTGTTTCTCCTCACCTACAAGGCTTTGATTTCTGAGATGGGGCCTGAAGCAGGAATTCCTCACACAATGGATGCTCAATTTGTCACAGGATGTGCCTCTCCACTCTCATACCAGATAAAAGGTTAGCCTGGTTTTTCATCTAGCTGTGTCTCCCTCAGAATCAAAACTATCGTCCTCCTCAGTGCTGGATCGAGTCCTTTCATCTTTAATTTGACCAAAATGGAAACCAGGATCATGAGAATTCCTCGGGGCTGGTGTTGAAAGGAATTTCCCCTGCTCTTGCCAGAGTCTCGAGGGGTGGCCTCCTTCCACGGGTGAGTAACCACAAGTCCATGTGACCGAACAAACAGCATATTCTTTTGTTCAAAAGAGAAAAACAACATTGAAGGAAATCAGCTGAAGAAAATTGAGATGAAAGCCAGTCCACGCCTCAGCATCCTGAGGAAATGTTCTTCCTTGATGCTCTGAGCTCTCTAAGAAGTTACCACAAAACCAAACCCATCAGAAGTTTGCAGGACGTCCTTGTTTAGAGCTGGGAAATAAACCACGAAACAGCGCAAAGGAGAGTCCAGGCCTGCCAATGCTTCCGCGAACTCCTCGCCCCGACCTCATCCTTCTCCAGCTCCTACCTGCAGGCCTCAGGTGAGCTCCGGAGTCTAGTCATTCCTGTTGGGAGGCAAGTGTGTGACTGGTGTGCAAGTCAGGTCAGGAGGCTGCCTTGGTGTCCAGCAAGTCTTGTTTGCGGAGGCAGGGACTGCTGGGTTGGGGCACTTCCCGACCCTGTTTCTGCTCTTCTCCCCTCTGCAGGCCTCCTGACCTCCAGGCTCCTTACCCTCCCGCTGGCCTCTGCTCTACACTCATCTTTGTGCCCTGCTTCCAATCATGCCAGGCCTCGGGGTCCCTGTCTCTAACTTCACCATGAGACTCAGGTGCTTCTCTACACTCCACCCTCTCCAACACTGTTTGGAATCTCAGGCTTGGTCCCAATCCTATGGGCTAACTTTGAAAAGACCGCTGTTCATAAGGAGAGAGAAAGGAGGAAGAGATGAGAAAGGAAGACAGAGAAAGAAACTCTATGATCACGGTTTTTCCAAAATTCATGGTTAAATTAGAACTTACTATGTGCAAATATAGAAGCACGGGTCCACAGAGTTCCAGAGAATGAATGCTGACGACTAAGCACCAGCCTCCACTCCCTGCCCCATAGTGAGTATCCCTCCTCTGTGTGCTCATGCTGTGAATCCCCCCCATTCTACCACTTCTCCCCTCATCACTGGCTTGCTGTAGGATCAGAAGTTCCTTAAGAACAAGAACCTTCTCCCAGTGTATCCCCAGCACCTAATACAGAAGGTAATAAGGAGGAGGCATCTGCTAAACGCTTGTTGAAGGAGTGAAATTGAGAGACCAGGAAGGGCCTGCAGGCATTGTGGTGAGCCTGCCTGTTGTCCACGTGGCTGCAGCAAGCAAACATGGGTTTTCCTTGGAAGGACTGTGGGCCATCAACCCATTAATTGCCGAGTTGCTTCTATCAGGGCAAGGCTGTGGAATCCTGTTATCCTAGACAATGAGGTACAGGGTGCAAGCAGATCTGTGTGCTGCTGTCTTCCGGTAAACGGACCAAGTTCTCACTTCCCATCCTCCTCCCCAGTCTCACCCACCCGTGCTCCCAAGAGAGCAATTCATCATGTCAGTGTCTGGTGTTTTCTTGAAGGCCTGTGCTAAATAAAGTGGATTGTTTATAAAGTGGGATTATTCTCCAAGCACAGAAGCAGATTCCTGGGCAAGTTGTTGCGCTGAGTGTAATTAATGAAATGCTTTTTGGACCAAATTGTCCAATGGAATGAGATCACCCACTGCCAGACTGGGTCATTCAGACCCAAAATAGATGGTCTGTATTCAATCCTAGATTTAAAACACACACACACACACACACACACACACACACACGTTGCTTAACGTCCTTCGCATCAGGAAACTACCAGAATACAGCAGACTGCGATTGTTAGAAGTGTAGAGTCAAGGTACCATTTCTAATTTTCTCTTTTTTTCTATAGTCAACACTTATTCAGTGAGCCGAGATCATGCCACTGCACTCAAGCCTGGGGGACAGAGCGAGACTCCGTCTCAAAAAAAAAAAAAAAAAAAAAAAACAAAAAAACAAGAAAATTTTCTATGCATCCAGGTTAACATCTTTGAAGCAGCATTTTCTGTCATCCACTGGAGCACTCATTTAGACAGGACTGCATAACTGCAAAGCACCCTGGGGCCTGGAGCAATGGTGAGCATGAGGCATTGTAACTTAGATGTTGCTTCAGTGAGAAAATGCTTCTCCTTCCTTCCAGAAGGAACCAACAGAAAATGAGAGGAGAAAGAAAAGGGCTGAGAAAAGTAGCTTTGACCACTTAGCAACAGTATTTCAGAATCATTACTCTAGAGAAAACAAGGAGAACTCAAAACTTTCATAGATTATGTCCCACGCAAAGAGTTTGCAGTGACCTTCAGAAACATTTTCAGTGACTTGGAGACCTTCCTGCAATGCTGTGCATAAATCTGTCAGCATTGCAATCCATGCAGCCTTATCATCTGAATTCAAATCCTCCCTGGACATTCTGCAGACTCACCACTTAAATTAGACAACCAGCTAGAAAACACTGTTGCAACACGAAATCCATTCCAAAACTCCACAAAGTGTTGCTCATGGGGGAGATCCATCTGTGAGTCAAAAAGAGATGAGCTCAAAGGATTTGGGGGTTGCCTCTGTCTTCCCAGAATGTAGCCGTTGCCTGGCAGACAGCATTACAACAAGGGCTGTGCCTGCACTTGGGCCAAAGAGCTGTCGCTCCTGCTTTGAAATCTTGGCATGACCTGGAGGTTTCCCTCACTTTCTCCCTCCATAACCCAAACCATGGCCAAAACCCACTTTCTCGTTTTTCACATGGCTGCTCCTACAATGTTGCTGCTGGGAACCCAGTGGAGTACCTGCCCATTGTTCTCCCAGCCCTGGCCTGTCTATGTGGCCTCCTCCCACAAAGAGGTGGCTTTTTATCTTCAGTCCAGAGCAAAAGGCTCAGACAGTTACCACGGAAAGAAATGTCACCATAATGAGCAGGCCCTCCTTTTATCACAGGGTGCTGGGTACTCGACCTGACCTCAGCTGGGCTAGAGAGCCCATGAAGCTCAGGCGGGAGCACTAAACCACCACCCACCTGCATGACCCACCTGCAACTCCTCAGCTGTATCCCTCTTCTGCCCAAGCATCCCATCCTGCTCCTTCCCAGCCAGCATCCTTAGTGACCATGAAGCACAGCCTGGCAAGCTCTTGCCCACAAAGAGTGTAGACAGTTGTTTGCTTCCTCCCCAGAAGGGCAAACCGTAATCACCATGGCATGAGAGAACCCAACCCAGAGAACCCACATTCACATGTGCCTCTGCCCTCATGTGACCTTAAACAGCTAAATGCACATTTCTGATCTCCAATGACATCATGGTCACACAACAGAAGCCCCTTAAAGGCACCCAACACAATACCTCATTCATCAGGGTCATGCCAGTCACCTGCTAGTTGGCTCTCAGCTCCATCTGGGCCCTTCGTCTCATTTTCCCTTCTTGGTTTCCTTGACAAATGGCTTTCCAGAAATTTGTGCGAGCAAAAGGTGCTGGAAATAAGGACCTGCGAGGGTATTTCTTCCTCTTACCTCTAGCACCATCTCGGACAGTAGCTCCATCTCCCATCAGACAGTGCCCTCCTCCACGGTTCTAGCTCCCACTCAGCAGCCCTGGTTTGGTTTCTGTTTCCACCTGGTGCCCCAGCTTCTGGTCTCTGGCTAATCCCACCTCTGAGGCCACAGCTGGTGGAGGCTTCCTGCCTTATTCGTCTCTCACCTGCCTCACCATCTGCTGTGTGCCTTCTCAGCTCCTCCTGGGCAACCAACTCCCTGCATTAATTTCTCTCTGTTGAAACCACTTTGAGGAACTTGTTTCCTGATTGTACCATGAAAGATGAAGTGCCCCTCTCCTTTCTTTCTCATCTATGAATCCAGTTCATTAGGCATCCCCAACTCCTGAGAGCATTTTGTACTTGAAGCCCTTCCCACATATCAAACTCCCCTCTCCCTATAACAGAAGACCACCCCTATACAGCTAAATGACTCCCCACTAGACCCCTCTCTGCCTTCTCTGGATAGGGAAGTCTTAAACACTTTCCTACCAGGGAAAAACAATCCACTCCAGCTGAACAAATTAGTCCCCCGAGATGTGTCCAGAGTTGGTTCCTGCCGGTAGGGTTGTGGTCTTGCTGACTTCAAGAATAGAGCCGTGGACCTTGGTGGTGTGTGTTACAGCTCTTAAAGATGGCATGGACCCAAAGAGTGAGCAGCAGCAACATTTATTGTGAAGAGGAAAGAACAAAGCTTCCACACCGTGGAAAAGGACCCCAGTGGGTTGCCGCTGCTGGGTGGGGGCGGTGGCCAGCTTTTATTCCCTTATTTGTCCCCCACCATGTTCCGTTTCTGTCCTATCAGAATGCCCTTGTTTCAATCTTCCCTGCAATTGTCTACTTTTAGGATCCTGCTGATAGGTGCGTTTTACAGAGTGCTGATTGGTGCATTTTATAGAATGCCAATTGGTGTGTTTTACAGAGCGCTGATTGGTGCATTTTACAATTTTCTTGCTAGCTACAGAGTGCTGATTGGTGCGTTTTTACAGTGCTGATTAGTGCATTTTACAATCCCCTTGCTAACTACAGAGTGCTAATTGGTGCACTTCACAATCCTCTTGCAAGACAGAAAAGTTCTCCAAGTCCCGACTTGACCCAGGAAGTCCAGCTGGCTTCACCTCTCACCACCAACTCTGGTGATGTAGGCAAGTCAGCAGACGAGGTAGTCCTAAGTTTCAAAAAGCAAACAACTGCATGCTCTTTCTGTTGGCAAGGGCTTGCCGGGCTGTGCATTGTGGTAACTAAGGATTCTGGCTTGGAAGGAGCAGGATGGAGAAGTAAACACCGAGCTCCAGGGGATATTTTTTAATTCCGGGCTTCAGCATCATCCATCCCCAAGAGCCCCAGATTTTATACATTCTCTCACATCCAAGGTTGTAGAACACCTGACAGTATGGTCTTCACTGAGACAAGAACAAGCTAATGGTGGTATCCTGGGTGACGTTGCAGGGGGTTCCAGGCATTGTACAATCAGGGACGCATTCCTTCCTAATCAGATTCAGCAACCTGTTCAGATGAGTCTGGTGTGTCTCCACGCCCATATTTCCCTGGTCAAGGATCCTGGCACCAACCTCATAGTTGTTGAACTACGTTTAACACACCTTCTTTAGTATTTGCAAGAATTTGGGATGGTGTCCACAGCTGGTCTGGACACATTGTTTCTCCACGTGCTTCATCTTTAGAAATATCCCTTTTTTTTTTTTTTTTTTGAGACAAAACTTCACTCCTGTCGCCCAGGCTGGAGTGCAATGGCACGATCTCGGCTCACTGCAACATCCGCATCCTGGGTTCAAGTGATACTCCTGGCTCAGCCTCCCAAGTAGCTGGGATTACAGGCGTCCACCACCATGCCCGGCTAATTTTTGTATTTTTAGTAGAGACAGGGTTTCACCATGTTGGCCAGGCTGGTCTTGAACTCCCGACCGCAGGTGATCCACCTGCATTGGCCTCCCAAAGTGCTGGGATTACAGGCATGAGCCACCATGCCTGGTCTCCCTTTTCATCAAAAAGAAAATTATTATGCTCAGCTCTTACCACAACAAAACCCTCTTAAGTGGCAGCCCATGACACAAACCTCACATCTTTTACATAAGAAGCCTCCAACTCTCTGCCCAGCTGTCTTCATAGAAGCAGATGGTGTACAGGCTGAAAGCTGCCCCAGCCACTGGGGACCAGGAAACTGCGGACTTGCTTTCCTGACTCCTGAAGTGACCAAAATGGAGAATAAGCCAAAAATATCTTGGCAAAGTTAACAAGGGAACGTCATAAGTTGAGCTTAGAGAACACTCAGAAATTGCACCATGCACTCCAGCTTGAGCAACAGAGCGAGACCTGTCTCAAAAAATAATAATAATAATCATTTAATCTAATGTAAAAACTTTTTTAAAAAAATGGAGGGATTTACTTCGGGCTGATTAACTTAGGGATGAAGACAATTGTCGGAGAAGTTTTGTTTCCATGAAGCTTTAAATCCTGCTAAAATCTGTATTAGTTTGCTAAAGCTGCCATAACAAAGTACCAGAAATGGATGGCTTATACAACAGAAGCGTATTTTCTCACAGTTCTGGAGGCTGAACACCTGAGATCAGGTGTAAGCAGGGCTATTGAAGGAGAATCCATTCCACGCCTCTCCGCTGGCTTCTCATAGTTGCGGGCAACCTTTGGTGTTCCTTAGCTTTAGACACATCACTGCAATCTCTGTCTTCATCTTCTCATGGAGTTCTCCCTGTGTGCATGTCTGTGTCCAAGCGTCCTCCTTTTATAAGGATACCAGTCAAATTAGATTAGCGCCACCCCCAGCCACCAACTCCAGTATGACCTCGTCTCAACTAATTCCATTTGCAATAACCTTATTTCCAAATAAGGTCACATTCTGAGGTACTGAGGATTAGGACTTTAACACTTGAACTTAGGGGACACAGTTAACAGTTCCCCACGCCACCCCGCTAAAATGCACGTGCTTCTCATGGGCAGAATATATTTCACCCCTTCCCTACATCCCCAAAAGTCTTAAACCGTTCCAGCATCAACTCTAGGTCCAAAATCTTATCCAAATATTCTATAAATCAGATATGGGTGAGACCTGAGGTATGATTCATCCCTGGGCAAAATTTCTTTCCATCTGTAAATCTATGAAACCAGACAAGTTATCTGTTTTCAGAATGGAAATATCTATCTTATTCCTGTCCCACAGTGGAGCAAATAGTCCCATTCAAATAGGGAGAAACTGGAAGGAAAAAAGGGGGTCTTAGATAGCAAGCAGGTCTGAAACCCAGCAGAGTAAACTCCATTAGAGTTTAAAATGGAAGAATATCATCCTTGGCTTGATGCTCTGTGGTTGATCCTAATATAGGCAAAGCCTTTTTCCTCAATTAATACCTTAGGTCTGGTCCTAAAACGGCACCTTGCCAAACCTCCCAAGTATAGATTCATAATCTATTGATTCTAGACTCAACACAAGCCTCCTTCTCTCAAGAACTGTAGCCTGGGTCTGTGACTCTGACACTCAGCAGAAGCAACATTCAGGCTTTAGGTGCAGCCGAACCACCACTGACTGTTACCCCACTCAGTTAAACCTGTCCAGGAAATCAGGATCAATCTAGGCTTTTCACGGCGTTTGTAGATCTATCACTGGCCAAGCTGTAGGATCCAAGTGAATAACCAATGCTTTCAACACTCTTTCAAAGAATTGTTTCCATTTGACCTCCAGAATCAGAGCAGGAAGCACAGTCCTTCCAGGAAAGCAGATTGCTATTTCAAATGGTGTGAGGTAGACCTGTGCTCTGCTTCTTAACACCAAGTTGAAAGATTTCAGGGCCTCCTTAGGATGAAATGGATGCATTTCCTCTTGCCACAACTAATAAAAATGAAGTTGTCATTTGTGACAACATGGATGAACCTGGAGGACATTATGCTCAGTGAAGTAAGCCAGGCACAAAAAGACTAATACCATGTGATCTCACTTATATTTGGAATTGAAAAAGATGAAACTCATAGAAGCAGAGAGTAGAGAAATGAGGAGATGCTGGTCAAAGGGTACAAATTTTCAGTTAGACAGGAGCTATGAGGTCTGGAGATCTATGGTACAGCATGGTGACTATAATTAATAACAATGTATTGTGTATTTGAAAATTGCTAAGAGAGTAGATTTTAAATGTTCTCACCACAGGAAAAAATATATATAATTATGTGAGGTGATGGATATGTTAATTAGCTTGATTCAATCATTTTATAAGGTATACATATGGGTGAGACCATATAACAAAATTAAGGAGTACATTGCAATGTACTCCTTAATTTTTTAAATTGTCAATTAAAAATAAATAAATTTTAAGGCCAGGCGTGGTGGCTCATGCCTGTAATCCCAGCACTTTGGGAGGCCGAGGCGGTAAGATTGTTTGAGCCCAGGAATTTGAAACCAGCCTGGGGAATATAAAATAGTCAGGTGTGGTGGTACATGCCTGTGGTCCCAGCTGCTCAGGAGGCTGCGATAAGAGAATGGCTTGAGCTTGGGAGGTCGAGGCTGCAATGAGCCATGATCATGCCACTACACCCCAGCCTGGGTGACAGAACAAGACCCTGCCTCAAAAAATGAATAAGGACATAAATAAATAAATAAATGTTAAAAACAAGGCAAGAAAATAAAATTAAAAGAATTATGATTTATAAAGAAGAAAAAAAGGCAGCATTATTTTCTACACTCATGATCTGGTCAAATAATCATGATCCCAAAGCAGCTGAATGTACTGACCACATCTCACAAAAGGAAATCTGAAAAGTCATCACTTGAAACAGGGTAGTCTAATACAGTGTTCCAAAACACACCCACAGCAGAACCACCTGAACTTGAACATGCATGCTCCCAGGCCCTGCCTCAGGACTACCGAGGCAGCATCTCTGGAGTTGGTGCCCATTTTAAAGTAGGTCACAATGAGTGGTGATTCTTTTGGGTGATTCCATTTAAGAACCACTGGTCTTTTAAGAGCACAACTTTTGGTATAAAACCAACAGCAAGGCTTGAGAACCAGTTCTGTCTTAATTTACTATGTGATCTTGGGGAAAACCATTTAATGTCTCTGAGCCTCGGTGTTTTCTGCTGAAAAGTGGGAATAATAATATCTACCACACAGAGTCCTTGAGACAGATCAGCTAATGCATGTGTAAAAGGTAAGAGAAATAGAATGAAGAGATGCATCAGACATGGTTTTGTAGAATCTGCTTTGTAGGTTGTTTTCAGTAGAGGAGACAGCACGCAAAGCTCTTTAAGGTTGGAAGGATGTAGCTTTGTAGGACCTCTCTCACAGAGTTGTGAGGAGTCCATGAGCTAGGGCATGCAAAACTCACGGCATCGTGCCTGGCACCCACATAGGTGTCAATAAATGCTCCCCATTGTTACTGATCACTAGCCCCATAAAGCTGGGAGGCCAGCATTGTCCAGCTCAGGTGGAGTGAGTATAGTGTGTCTGGTGGGAGGTAGAGGCAGCCAACACAGGACAAGTGAGACAGGGCCAGAGGAGGAGGCCTGGAGTCCAGGCTAGGAAATCCGTAGTTCCCTGTGCGTGTGTTGGGCATCCACTGACATTTTCTGAACATGGGAATGATGAGATTCATCTAGCAGTAGTTGGGGAAGGGACTATTTGAGGGAAAACTCAAGAGACAGAAAGATAAGGCAGGAGACTGTTGTACACACCAGACAAAAACCTCTACAAAAGTCAAATGATACAGGAGTCAGCCAGCACAGCAAGCCTTTAAGAAGTCCATGTATGGGCTGGGTGCAGTGGCTCACGCCTGTAATCCCAGCACTTTGGGAGGCCGAGGGGGGTAGATCACGAGGTCAAGAGATCAAGACCATCCTGGTCATCATGGTGAAACCCTGACTCTACTAAAAATACAAAAATTAGTGGGGTGTGGTGGCTGGCGCCCACAGTCCCAGCTACTCGGGAGGCTGAGGCAGGAGAATCGCTTGAACCTGGGAGGTGGAGGTTGCAGTGAGCCAAGACCATGCCACTTGCTCAGCCTGGTGACAGAGCAAGACTCCATCTCAAAAAAAAAAAAAAAAAAAAAGTCCATGTATGAATAAGGAAAAGGTGCCCCTCTAGTGGATGCAGCCCATGCTGGAGCACCCAGCAGAGACAGCAGAGCTGAGAGGAGAGGGCGGCCCATTTACCCACTGACCAGGGCCTTCGGTGTAATGAGCAACACACATCATATGTGAGAGCTCTGAAGTCACTACGAACAGAAAGAAGAGGGAGAAAACATTTTTTTTCATGTTAATACAGAGCCATTAACTCTTACATTATCCTGAGAATACTTCTGCCCTTTTCCCTCAAAGTGCTATTAAATTGTCATAAATTCTTATTTTAATTCCTGCTCATTGACAGCCAAACCCCTGACAGTTAGAAAGGGTTAGAAGACATTTGGTTGAGAAACTTTTATTGTAGAAAATGTCACAGATTAAAATGACATACCAATATTTTATACAACTGGACATTGTCCTCTAGGCAAATACATGTGAAAATATGTCCTTCCCAAATTGATTGTCACTGTAGGGACACTCCCTCCGCTTAAGACAAAGTTAGCCAGTCAGTCAACAGATGCCATATTCCCTTCATCATGTAGCAGGAAGAGCCACAGACAAAACCCCTCAGACACTGAGTTAAAGAAGGGAGGGGTTTATTCAGCCGGGAGCATTGGCAAGACTCCTGTCTCAAGAGCCAAGCTCCCCGAGTGAGCAATTCCTGTCCCTTTTAAGGGCTCACATCTCTAAGGGGGTCTGCGTGAGAGGGTTGTCATCAATTGAGCAAGCAGGGGGTACGTGACTGGGGGCTACATGCACCGGTAATCAGAACGGAACAGAACAGGACAGGGATTTTCACAGTGCTTTTTCATACAGTGTCTGGAATCTACAGATAACATAACCAGTTAGGTCAGGGGTCATCTTTAACTACCAGGCCCAGGGCGTGGCACCGGGCTGTCCGCCCGTAGATTTCATTTCTGCCTTTTAGTTTTTACTTCTTCTTTCTTTGGAGGTAGAAATTGGGCATAAGACAATATGAGGGGGTGGTCTCCTCCCTTATTCATAGGTACCCATCAACTACATGATGCACGAGGAAATTGGTCACATGTGAAGCCTTCACTATGTGTTTGGTGATGTGCCAGGTGCTAGGAATTCCTTGAGAGTGGGAGGGGACAGCCTCTGCCTTCAAAATATGCAGTCTAACAGGGAAGACACACAGTGAACAAATACACAAATAGCTACAAAAATGCAAGAGACAGGTAGCCTTCCTGAAAGTGAGTAGTTGAGTAATTAGAGGGGCGGTATGGACACAAGACCAAAAATACAGACGATCTGGCCTTTTGCAGGGAAAGTTTGCCAGTGACTGCTTAGTGGGTCAGTTTTCTGGAAGAAAGTCAGTAGTGGGAGCACCCATTCTATTTTATGGAATCAAGGTTGTCCGACTAAAAAAAGAAGGAAAGTTGATAGCCAATTTGCCATCTCTCTTCTATTGCTTTCTAGATAGACAAGGCCAAAAGAAACTTAACCAGATGAATAAGTGTTTGGAAGGTGAATTCTTTTAAAATTAATTTGTAGAAACAAAATGTGGCATGTTGTTGTGCCGAACCCCTATTAACCTCGGTAGGGAAGGCACCAGGGTCAAGAGGCTGAAGAAGAGACCCCAAGCCAGCAAACGAGACCTGTGGCTTTTTTAGGGCCTTACATACAGTGGCAGCAGGCTGGACAGGAGAACCCCCTTACATACAGAAACAGTCCAGTGGCAGCAGGCTGGGCCCCACATCTGCAGGAAAACCACTTGCAAACAGCATGCAGTTTACATAGCATTTTCACTGAATACCCTTCCCTTAATGACTCCTACTTGGCAACCTTCAGCCAACCCAAAACTTAGGACCTCAATCCTCTATATGGCCCAAGTTCCATGGGATGGGTAGGGGGCTCAGATGTCCCTCATAGACAAAGAACAAATCTCCAGGTTGGCCACACCCAGATTCTCTAGTTCAGAACACACATTCAGGGGCATCTGCCACACGGGGTGATTCTCAGGGTATGCTTGAATTATTGCTCTCAGGTGTGTTTACCCTACATATGTACATTCAATGGAAGGATATTCAACCTTAAAAAGAAGGAAGTCCCATCACATGCTACCATGTGGATGAATCTTGGGGACATTATGCTCAGTGAAATAAGCCACGCCCAAAAGAACAAATCTAAATGATGCCACCTGTATAGCATATCTAGAGTAGTCAAATTCATGGAGACAGAAAGGAGCCTGGGGAATGTTAAGGGCTGAGAAGAAGTGCAGTGATGACTTGTTTAATTGGAATAGTTACAGTTTTGCAGGACTGAAAGTTCTGGAGATCTGTTTCACAACAATGTGAGTATACCAAACACAAAAACATGGTTAAAATGGTAAATTTTATAGGATTTTTTTTACCACAATTTTAAAAATTTGAATTTTTAAAAAAAGAATTTTTAGAATCTAGAGAAATGATACAAAAAAAAACTTAGAGTTGTTTAGGGTTTCATATGAAGCATCATGCTGTTTGACAAATTTTAGTGTTTCTGGATAATATATCATGAAAACTGGATTGAGAAATAATGATTAGATCTCCCCATGTTCTTGCCAGAGATACGCACAGTTTTTATGAAGTTGCATTAGCCAATAATAACCCCCATTAGCAAACAAGCCCTTGGTTGGACAAGAACACTCCATCTATCACTGGCCAAGCCGGCCAATGTACAGTGAAAGCTCACTAAAGGACACTGTTTAAGTCAAGCACTGCTCACTGCTCCCTCCTTCTTAAAGCATTCTTTGCTCATGGACTCCGTGAGCCTACTCTGTCCTGGGTTTCCATACATTGCTTTAGCTGAGCCTTTTCAGTTTTCTTTGATCACTCATCTTCTCCAAGCTTAGCCTTTAAATATATGAATTCTTCAGGGCTCTATCCCAGACCACTCTTCTCCTCTTTCTGTAATCTCTCCCTCTAGACAATCTCATCCACAGTCATGGCTTTCATTATTCCTACATGTCAAGAATTCTCAAATTCATATCACCTGTGCAGATTTCTTCTCTGAGCTCCAGGTCCATATATGCAAATGCCTTCCTAACATCTCCCCTTGGATACTGTATGGGTTGAGGTACAAAGAGACCCAAAAATACAATGCCTTAAGAAAGGTAGAAGTACATTTCCCTCTCAAATCACAGTCCAGCAATAGGCAGGCCCAAGCTAATGGAGGGGTTCTGCCATCCTCAATACAAGGTTCCTAGCTCTGGATTCAAGAAGACCATGGCAATTTCTATTGCCACATTTGCTTCCCAGCCAGCAGGAAGGGGAAGCGGCAGGGGGGCGGGGGAAGGAGGGACGCCATAAGTTATTTCCTGCCAAGGGTATGACCCGGAAGCTGCACACATCACCTTCACTCACATCCCACTGGCCAGAAGTCAATTGCGTAGACACACCTAAATGCAAGGAAGGTTAGGAAATGTCTCTAACTGAACAGGCGTATTCCCAGTTAAATTCAGGAGGACTTCTCATTAAAAGAATAAGGGGAGAACAGCTGTAGTAGTGTATCAGCATCCTCTGCTGCAGATATCTCAAAAGCTCTTCAAGTTGACATGTCCAAAACCAAAGTCAGGCTCATGCCCTCCCAGGTCTGAACCTCTATCAGTGAGTATTATACGCCGGTGAACGCCACCACCATCCACCCCGCTATTGCTCCTCAGAAATCTCAGCACCTGTATACACTCCTCTCTCCCTCACCTGTAGATCTAACTCAGTACTACGCCCTGCTAATTGTTAATCATGAAGCTTCTTCTCTTAGTCTTTCCTGCCATCCTAACGTGAGCATCCATGATCTCTCACCTGGACCACTGCAGTAGCCTCCTAACTGGGTTCCTTGCCCTCACACCGTGCCCTCTCCCTCACCTCTAGATCCAACTCAGTACTACGCCCTACTAATTGTTAATCATGAAGCTTCTTCTCTTTGTCTTTCCTGCCATCCTAACTTGAGCATCCATGATCTCTCACCTGGACCACTGCAGTAGCCTCCTAACTGGGTTCCTTGCCCTCACCCCATGCCCTCCCTTCCATTCTTGATACGACAGCCAGGGTGGTCTTTTCCCAGTGCCAAAAGGGTGTTCCAGTCCCCCCATTAAAATCATGCATTGGCGGCCACGTGCGGTGGCTCATGCCTGTAATCCCAGCATTTTGGGAGGCCTAGTGGGAAGATCACCTGAGGTCAGGAGTTTGAGACCTGCCTGGACAACACGGTGAAACCCTGTCTCTACCAAGAATACAAAAGTTAGCCGGGCAGGATGGTGTGCACCTGTAGTCCCAGCTAGTAGGGAGGCTGAGGCAGGAGAATCACTTGAACCCAGGAGGCAAAGGTTTCAGTGAGCTGAGATCATGGCACTGCACTCCAGCCTGGGCAACAGAGCAAGACTCCACCTCAAAAAATAAAAGTAAAAATAAATAATCCATTGGCATCCAGTGCTTTTCACATAAGCTACAAAACCTTACAGGTCTGGCCTCATCCCACTATGCAATCTCACCCATCCCCATCCATCTCTGGAACCTCCTCCCCTTCTCTGACTGTGGCCTCCTTCTTCCAGCACCATCCCTCTGGCAGGAATCCTCTCCTCCCTTCTCCATTCCCACCTTTGCTGGTTAACTCCTAGCTTCCTTCAGTCCACAGGGCAATGACTGCCTCCTAAGGGAAGCCTTCCATCACCTTCCCAAATGGGGCAATTTCCTCTTTGAGGCTCTCAAAATCACGTGGCATCTCCCACTCTAGCCAAGCCTGCACTTCTGGTGTGGTTCTCTGAGGCCACGAGACATTTAGCCACAAGAAACCAGGCACTGTGTTTTGGGGTGGGGGGCGGGGGTTGATGGTTTGTTTTTGGAGTTTTGTTTGCTTTTTTTTTTTTGCTTGCCATTGTGTCCCACCACCACCACACATAGCACAGTACCTTGCAACTAGTCAGATCTCAAAAATGCTGAATAATTGAATCCCAAGAATTCAGAACAACTGGGAGCAAGCAAGTCTGAATTACTTAATCTGAATCACTGCATTTTTATGAAGGAATGCAGTGCTCTTGCTTACAAATATGGGCATATAATTGGATGAAACGGGTCGTTGTGGAGCTACCTGTAGGCGTTCAGGACAAGGAGGGGAGCAGGAGGAACATCTGACGTGGCCATTGAGCGCACACCACATGCTAATGCAGAGAGAAGAAATAAATGCTCACAAAATGGCAATTCCAAAAGATAACACATCATGTAAAGCCTTGATAAACACAAACACAGATCCTCAGGAAGCTCAGGTGCAAGAGAGATCAGCATAGACCCAGAAGGATCGGGGATGTCTTTGTGCGCAAGCACATCCCTGATCGAGGGCACAAAGGGCAGGGAGACAAGGATGAAGCGTTCAGGAGTAGAAGACCCTCTTGGCAGGAGGCTGGTGAGCAGACTTGGGAGGAGGAGAACGGCTGACCGCTCTGTGAGGCAGGGTGGATGCCAGTCGGGGGATCAGCTTATAAAGCTCCCTGATATGTGTTTGTTCTTTATGCAGAAGATGGTGGGAAGCTTGCTAACCGTCTGGGAGGGAAGTAGTTTAAGAGAAAGTTTTAGAAAGACAGGTCTGGAACGGTGTACAAAGTGGACTGGAGGTTGAACCCTGTGATTTCTTAGCTGCGACCTGCCTCCCAGAATGGAGGCAGGGTGCTGGGTTGGCCTTATCCACATGGGGGAGGAAAGCTGAGGTGGCCACACTCAGGTCTCACACCTCCCCTGGGGAGGTAGGGGAAGTGCTGCCTTCTTCATGGGGTCGGGAATGAAGGACGGTTCATTTATGACGCAATACAAAATGTCCAGCTTCCAAGAGCCAAACCTGTGCACCAGGACCTGAAGCTTCCTGGGCATACGGTAAAGGGAGAAAGAAAGACCTACCCCCTCTTCATGGTGAAAGGATCACATCTCATAATCCTAGGCTAATTCAATGCACAAAACAGTCTACACTCCAGCACTTTTTTCTTCCAGTCTTAGGACGCATCTACATCCCATTGAGATTGTTATGGATGACCAATTCTAGAAACTGCCAGATTCGTTAATGGGTTGGAGTATATTTTGTGAAAAAAATTGCTCCCATTAATGAAGTTTTAGGGGCCCGTCAATCCTCAAAAATGGAAAAAGATCAACTGGATTTTGGAGCTGTAGAGGCATAAGAAATACACAGTATGAAATATTGAAACTTTATTCCATTATGAATGAATACAATGTTTTCCTAGTCACATTGGAGTGACATTGATCTAGCATTGGTGCCATGTGGCAATGCCCTCTTAGTTTTTTAATTCTAAAAGAAACCAATATACTACAATTAAGCAACTATACTATTGAATATAGTGTAATTCTTATAACCCTCTTTGAATATTTTTATTTTTAGGTAAAGGCACATCTCAATTTTTAGAAATTTATGTAAACTCAAAAAGTGAAAACTTCTTTTCTGTTAACTTTTTTTTTTTTTTGAGATAGGATCTTGCTCTGTGGGCCAGGCCGGAGTGCAGTGACACAATCACAGCTCACTGTACCCTGAACTCCTGGCCAGCCTCCAGTGATCCTCCCACCTCAGCCTCCACTCCCGGCTCATCTGATAATTCTTAAGAGTTTATAAATTTCCAGTGAGGCTTTGCTTTTAAAGAGTGCTAAGCCTTAGGAGTTATTTTAGAGAGATTTGTTCAATGACTACATTGTGTCCCTTAAATAAAAAGATGGGTGAGAAGGGCTACAAAAATAATTTTCTAATAACCAAATAGGCAATACACAAAGAGCTCTGCTGAGATATTGATAGAAAAAATGAATTTTTCAAAAGAATACCCTGAAGAAAATTTATCAAAAGAAATGAACAGTTGATTTGCTGAAGATAAAATATAAATATCAAAAGAAAAGGGCAGGATTTTACAACATCTGTTAAAATTGTAAATGCCCATACCCCCTTGAACCAGCAATGCAATCTTTGAAAACTCACACTTTCAGAAATAAAAATCGTAGCATATTAGAACATACATACAAAGGTGCTTATTGCAGACGTGTTTGTTAAGAAAAAGGGAAAATTCTAAATGTCCATCAAAAAGAATGTATTCATACTATGAAACAGTATGCAACTATTAAAAAGAATGGGCTAGGTCTCTCTGTGTTACCCAGAGCAATGTCCATGATATATTAGCTGTTTTTGGCTTTGGGTTTTGTTTTTTGTTTAAGAGACAAGGTCTCATATGTTGCCCAGGCTACTGGAACTCCTGGGCTCAAGCAATCCTCCCACCTTGGCCTCCCAAAGTGCTGGGATTAGAGGCATGAGCCACTGCACCCAGCCATGATACACTGCTAAGCAAAAAAAGTAAAATCACACAAACTGCAGATTCTTGTTACACACATACACACACACAGAGATTTTAAGTTATAATTGTCATGCAATAAAATACATCTATTAAGCATACCATTCAATGAGTTTTAACTAATACATACATCCATTTCCCACCACCACAGTTAAGATACCAAACATTTCCATTACCCAAAATTGTTCCTTTGTGCCTCTTTGCAGTTAATCTCCCTACCAGCCCCAGGAAATCACTGAATTTCTCTCTGTCCCTATAGATTAATTTTGCCTAATTTAGGATCTGATATACATGGAATCATATAGTGTGTGCCCTTTGTGTTGCTTTCAGTTTTTACCTGTTTTATAAAGCTGATATTAACATGTGTGTACATGTCTTTGGACAAACATGCTTTTTCATTTTTCTCGGGTAACTGTGAGAGAAATTCCTAGGTCACATGCTAAGTGTGTGTCTAACTGTATAAGGAAATGTCAAACAATTCTCCTACCAGCAATGCATGAGATTTCCAGTTGCTCTACATCTTTGCCTACACTCAGTATTGTCAGTCTTTTACATTTTAACCATTTAATTAGATGTACAGTGGTATCTCATTGTGGCTTTAATTTGCATTGACATGAAAACTAATGCTGAGCATCTATTTGTACTTATCAGCAATTTATATTCGCATTTATTGCTTTGAATATCTTTTGCGAACTGACTCTTTGCCTATTTTTTAATTAGATTGTCTTATTGTTGAATTGTAAGAGTTTTTTATTTTTATTTATTTATTTTTTTTGAAATGGAGTCTCACTCTGTCCCCCAGGCTGGAGTGCAGTGGTGCAATCTCAGCTCACTGACACCTCTGTCTCCCAGGTTCAAGCGATTCTTCTGCCTCAGCCTCCCGAGTAACTGAAACTATAGAAGCGTGCTACCACACCCGGCTAATTTTTGTATATTTAGTAGAGATAGGGTTTCACCATGTTGGCCAGGCTGGTCTCAAACTCCTGACCTCATGATCCTCCCGCCTCGGCCTCCCAAAGTGCTGGGATTACAGGCATGAGCCACCATACCGGGCCTTTTATTTTTATTTATTTATTTTTTTGAGATGAAGTCTCACTCTGTCACCCAAGCTGGAGTGCAATGGTGCAATCTCAGCTCACTGCAATCTCCACCTCCCAGCTCCCAGGTTCAAGGGATTCTCCTGCCTCAGCCTCCCAAGTAGCTGGGATTACAGGCACCCACCACCACACCTGGCTAATTTTTTGTATATTTAGTAGAGACGGGGTTTCACCACATTGACCAGGCTGATCTCAAACTCCTCACCTCAGGTGATCTGCCTGCCTCGGCCTCCCAAAGTGGTAGGATTACAGGCATCAGCCACCACGCCTGGCAAGGGTTCTTTATATATTCTTGAGCCAAGTTTTTAGATATATGTATTGCAAAACATCTTCTTAAAGTCAGAGGTTTGCATTTTCATTTTCTTTTTAATAAGACAGAATCTCGCTCTGTCTCCCAGGCTGGAGTGCAATGGCACGATCTCAGCTCACTGCAAACTCTGCCTCCTCGATTCAAGTGATTATCATGCCTCAGCTACTGGAGTAGCTGGGATTACAGGCGTGTGCCCCCAAGCCCAGCTAGTTTTTGTATTTTCAGTAGAGACAGGGTTTCGCCATGTTGGCCAGGTTGGTCTCAAACTCCTAGCTTCAAATGATCTGCCTGCCTCGGCCTCCCAAACCGCTCATATTTCAGGCATCAGCCACCATGCCCAGCCTACATCTTCATTTTCTTAATGGTGCTTTTTCAAAGAGGAGTTTTTAACTTTGATGATAAGGCCCAACTTTCTAATTGTTTATTTTATAACTGGTGCTTTTTGTGTTCTAAAAAAACTTTGCCTAGTTTTACCTTTAAGTCTGTGATCAATTTAGTTTTACCTTTAAGTCTGTGATCAATTTCATTTTAATTTTTGTGTATAATGCAAGATAAGGATAGAGGTTCATTTTTCCTATGTGGTATCCAGGATGTTCCAGCCCCATTTCTTGAAAGAACTATCCTTTCTCCATTGGATCACATGCACTATAGGACCCATTTTTTAAAAACTATACACAAGCATGGAGGAGAATACGGAAAAGTACACATCAAATTGTTAACAATGATTACCTTCAAGGAAGTGGAATTGGAGGGGAATTGAGAGGAAACTAACACCCTTTTTTCTTACACATTTCTTTGGGGACTGCTCACCTTTTAATTTCCAAAGAAAGGAAACGTAACGTATTACCATCTGATATAAAAATAATGTAGAATTAGAAGGGGTCTTTGCTGAAGACAGTGAGATCATTTCAGCACCAAGCATGAGGTGATGGAGCCTAGACCAAAGGATGCCATCCAATGAGTGGGGGTGACAGAGACAACAAATGTTTGGAAGGTAGCACAGTGGACTGGGTGGCTTGTAGGAGGAAGGGGAAGAGGAAAGCAAACAGGACTCCAAGGTTCTGTTTTCTTTGAGTTTTTGAGACAGAGTCTCCTTCTCTCACCCAGGCTGGAGTGCAGTGGCATGACCATGACTCACCAAAGCCTTGAACTCCCAGCAATCCTTCTACCTTAGGCCTCTGTTATAAGTAAAATGTTTATTTAGAAACAGAATGCTTGTTCCTTGGTACCACAAGGAAAAATCAGCATTTAGACAAAAAGTTTTCTCAGCAAGGCAATTTTACTTTCTGCAGAAAGGGTGCTCCTTGCAGATGGAACAATGGCAAGAGCACACCTGAACAAAGGAGGGAAGCAATTTTTATCCCTTACGCAGTTTGTCCCTGTTACTGTGTCCTGTCTCCACTGGCTGGAGCCAGACTGCACAATCTAAATTAAACCCAACTGGCTAATAATTAAAAACTTTCCTAAATAGGTAAAGGCAAAAGAGAACAAAGGAAAAGAGGAAGTTGCTTGTGAGAGGACTTAGAAAAGTAATAATATTTCCAAATAAGGAAGGGGCATAGGCTGTGAGCTGGAATGTGCCTGTGAGCATGTCCACTACAAATATCTTGGTTAAAGTACAAGGACAGAGAATGTACTTATCCCCTTATATCTAGCAGCCACATAAGATAGGGCTTAACAAAGAGTTATTAGCACAAAGAGAAGAGGCTTGAAGGAAGTTAGTCTTTAAAAGAAACTATTATTTCTAACATTTATGATTTATTCTTTAACAAGAAGGGAAACTTTGAAGAGGAAACTTTTTACTTTCTACACCCTCCCAAGTAGCTGGGACTACAGGCACACACCACCACACTTGGCTAATTTTTGTATTTTTTGTAGAGACAGGGTTTCGCCCTGTTGCCCAGGCTGGTCTCAAACTCCTGGGCTCAAGCCATACTCCAGTCTCAGCCTCCCAAAGTTCTGGGATTACAGGTGTGAGCCAACACACACAGCCAACTCCAAGTTTTTAGCCTGGAAAAATGATGATGCCTGGTGAAAAACAAAAAAGGAAACTGGGGTGAGGAGCTAATTTTATAAATGAAACAATGCACGTAGCTGAATTTGAAGGGACCACAGAACATTTGACTGGGAATGTCCAGCCAGCTGTCAAAGATAAATCAATCACTTGATCTAGAATAACGAAGTGTCTCTAAGCAAGGGTTCTTGGGACATATTTGTTATTTCCACATGTTCTGAGCACCTGCCAGGAGCAGATTTGCCATACTGGGCACACAGGGAACGGAGATGGACAGGGCTGGACCTGCCCTCAGACTCATACTGAGTGCAGAGAGAGAGTGCTGCAGAATTAGCTGTAATTACTACTTCAAGAATGGAGATGAGTGGTGCAGAGATCTCAGATACATTGTCTGTATGTAGATGGTGCTGCTAAAGTATTTAAGCTTGCTTAGAAATAGTTCCCTTAATTATTTTCAGCACTCTGCCCGAGTCTTGTTTACACTATTAATTTATTTCACAAACCCTTTCTTAGCAAATAATGCCAACAGATCCAGTGGGACTTAGCAAGAATAAATGGAATCTAAATTAAAGTAAGCAGCCTGTGTCGATTTTTATTTCTGCTTTTTCAGATAAAACAGCAGAGATTCATTAGGTATACAAGAGTATATCAGTGAATACAGTATAGCTGAAGAACTAACCATACCTGGTTTTCTTGAAGAAAAAAAAAAAAGGGACAGTCCCCCATTTATGAGGAAATAAGTTTAGGATTCTCAGAAGAACATAATCAATGAGAAATCACTAATATTTATTAAGAGTTTACCATGTGCCAGACACTATGCTGAGGCAGGCTTCATTCATCATCTCATTTAAATATCACAAAACCCCTGAGGGTTTTATAACAAGGCCTTTACATATGAGGGAACCAAGGCTCAGAAAGGTAAAGCAACTTGTCCAATGTCACCCAGCTAATGAATGAAAGAGTGGAGACTGGAACTCAAGTCTGTCTTACTTCACAGCTCATGCTCTGAAATAAGAATACATATACGAATATAAATAATAGCTATCACTTATGGGGCTAATACTATATGCTAAGAGCTGTGCTACAAGTATTTCAACATACAAGTCATTATCTTTTTTTTTTTTTTTTTGAGATGGAGTCTCACTCTGTCACCCAGGCTGGAGTGCGTGGAGTGCAGTGGCGCAATCTCGGCTCACTGCAACCTCCGCCTCCCGGGGTCAAGCAATTCTCATGCCTCAGCCTATCAGGTAGCTGGCACAGCTGAGATTACAGGCGTGCAACACCACGTCTGGCTAATTTTTGTACTTTTAGTAGAGATGGAGTTTTGCCATGTTGGCCAGGCTGGTCTCAAACTCCTGACCTTAAGTGATCCGCCCACCTCAGCTTCCCAAAGTGCTGAGATTGCAAGCGTGAACCCCCGTGCCCAGCCTATTTTTCAAAGCTCTCTGACATTAACTCACCGGAGCTTCTTGGTAAGAGCTGAGGAGGACAGCCTGGGAGTCAATACGTAAGAACGAAGAATATATATGGAAACAAATCAGTCATCTGATTAGGTTACAGGATTTGGAGTAATTTTTATCTTAGTTGTTTATTAAAGCATTTTGCCATGAATCAACATTTTATTACAAGAAAGAATAAGAGCTTGTTTAGTATCCATTCCGTAAACTATTAGGTGAACAATCATGGGGAAAAGTCCCCCAACCTCTCTGAGCTTCAACTTCCTCATATGCAAAAGGGGGCAACTTCTACCATCTGCTCCTCAGAGGTACCATAAAACTCAAGTGAGATGAATGTCTGTGAAAGTACTTCAGATGTACTTTACATGTAGGCCTAAAGCCAAAGATGGGTTAACCACATTGATACTCAACATGAGTTTGCTCACTCAGATGCTGTAAACAACATGTAAGAGAGTAGGCATTAATAATGAAAACAGCTTGGTGCTGGCATGTGAATGCACAGACGGAGCAATAGAGAGACTAGAAATAGACCAACCGCATATGGGAATTCAATGTATGATCAAGTGGAATTTAAATCACTGGGGGAATGAGATATTTCAATGAGTATCTCAGAACAACTGGGCAGCCAAATGGAAAAATAATATCTGATGCCACTTTATCACTTATCTAACAGAATTTCCAGATGTTTCAAAGATTTAAATATAAAAATAATCAAACTATAAATTCCTAGGAGATCACATCAGAGAATTTTTCTTTTTTTCTAGAAATGAATACCTTCCGCACGGTGGCTCACGTCTGTAATCCCAGCACTTTGGGAGGCCAAGGCAGATGGATCACCTGAGGTCGGGAGTTCAAGACCAGCCTGGCCAACATGGCAAAACTCCGTGTCTACTAAAAATACAAAAATGGTGGCGGGCGCCTGTAGTCCCAGCTACTTGGGAGGCTGAGGCAGGAGAATGGCTGGAACCTGGGAGGTGGAGTTGCAGTGAGCCGAGATCGTGCCGTTGCACTCCAACCTGGGAGACAGAGTGAAACTCCATCTCAAAGAAAGAAAGAAAGAAAGAAAGAATACCTTTCCAAATAAGACACAAAGGTACAAAAGCTATAGAGAAAAAAGTTTTAATTTGCCTATCTAAAAATTAAAAATTCCTGAAAGGACAAAAAATGCCACAAAGTAAAAGACAAGCGACAAACTGGGAGATAATAAGGTAACATAACATACCCAACAGACAAGGGGCTAAATCCCATAATAATTAATTAATTAACAAATATTTAATGAGCAACTGTTATGCGCCAGGCACCATTCCAAGCATTTGAGACTTCAGAACAATTAGAATTCCCTGCCTTATGGAGCTCATATTCTGTTGGGGAACATACAGAAATCTTGCATATTAGTAGGAAAGCACAATAAAAAATGAACTATAAATAGCTGACAAGGCTGTTAACACAAGTGGTATTAAACACCAGAAAAGTGTTCACTCTCCCTCAAAACAAATGAAATGTAAGATCTCCCTGGTTGTCTAGTGGATAGGGAAAAAAATAAGAATAAAAATGAGTCCAGTGCAGTGGCTCACGCCTGTAATCCCAGCACTTTGGGAGGCCGAGGTGGGTGGATTACCTGAGGTCAGGAGTTCGAGACCAGCCTGATCCATATGGCAAAACCCCGTCTCTACTAAAAATAGAAAAATTAGCCGGGCATGGTGGCATATGCATGTAGTCCCAGCTACTTGGGAGACTGAGACAGAAATGCTTGAAACCAGGAAGCAGAGGTTACGGTGAGCCAAGATCACGCCATTGCACTCCAGCCTGGGTGACAGAGAGACACACAAAAGATTATAATAAAAAATAAAAATGAAATGCAAGTTAAACTTTAGTAAGATACCATCTTCATCCATTGACTTTGCAAAATCAAAAAGTATAATAAGGCCAGGCGCAGTGGCTCATGCCTGTAATCTCAAAGTACTGTGATTACAGGTAAGATGAGGGATAGCTAGAAGCCAGGAGTTCAAGACCAGCCTGGGTAACATGTTGAGACCCCATCTCTACAAAAACTTTAAAAAATTAGTTGGGCATGTTGACACATGCCTGTAGCCCTAGCAACCCAGGAGGCTGAGGTGGGAGGATCGCTTGAGCCCAGGAGTTGAGGCTGCAGTGAGTTATAACCATGCCACTGCACTCCAGCCTGGGAAATACACTGAGACCCTGTCTTTTTTTTTTTTTTTTTTTTTTTTTTTTTTTTTTTTTTTTTTTGAGACAGATTCTCACTCTGTCGCCCAGGCTGGAGTGCAGTGACACTATCTCAGCTCACTGCAAGCTCTGCCTCCCAGGTTCACACCATTCTCCTGCCTCAGCCTCCCGAGTAGCTGGGACTACAGGTGCCTGCCACCACGCCTGGCTAATTTTTTGTATTTTTAGTAGAGACAGGGTTTCACCGTGTTAGCCAGGATGATCTCAATCTCCTGACCTCACGATCCGCCCGCCTCGGCCTCCCAAAGTACTGGGATTACAGGCGTGCGCCACCATGCCTGGCCAACCCTGTCTCTTAAAAAAAAAAAAAAAAGTATAATAATATGCCATGTTGACAAAGGTATACAGAAATGGGCACTCTCTTGCATCCTTGATATGAGTATAGATTGGTTCAACGTCTTTGAAAAGCAATTTGTCAATATCTATCACAATTGCAAATACTTGTGCTCTTTAGCCCAACAATTTTGCTTCTAAGAATTTATGCTACAGATATATTTGTATATGTGTGTAGTGGGAGGTATAAAAGGCTGTTTGCTGTATGTACCATTGCTTCCAATGGAGAAAGGTTGACACACAGCCTAGATATCTATCACTAAGAGAGTATTTAAACAAACAGGGACTCTAAAATACTAGAAGTTGTTTAAAAATATAGAGTTGCTGAAAAGAATGAGGCAGGTATATATGTACAAAAGATTCTTCAAAATATATGAAGTGAACAAAAGCCAAGTTCTGAACAGTTATGTACAATGCTATACTGGTAAATGCTTAACAACATAAAAACACTATAAGTACACAGATATGTACATGAGATAATTACAAAGTTTACTAATAAAAAGGATGTATAGTACATAATTTGCAAATAAAATATACAAGTCTTTATTGTAAATTCCATTCTATAATGTCAATGTGACTTGCTATTTCTTAAAAATTCCAATGTCGTTAATAATTTTATCATCCATGATTGTGTCCCAAAATAATACTCTGAATAAGCTTAATTATAATTTGATCAGCAGAGAAGTTGCTCATATCATTGACAAATGTGTGTGGTTCAAACATGAATGTTGGTTGATATTTCATTTTTATTCATAATTAAAATGGAAATGAGACAACAAATATGTATGTTGGAACTTCACTTGTCTATCAATGACATGAGCAACTTCTTTGCTGAATTAGATGATAGTTTTTGAATACTGGAAGAATATTTCCTGAAGTTTTTGTGCTCATCACAATGTAACAGACTCAGACATAACACTCATGTTAATTCTTCTTCTTATTATTTTCTCCATCACTTTCTTAAGTCTAGACCAAGAGTCAGCAAACCATGGCCCTTGAGCCGAATCTAGCCTGCTATCTGGCTTTGCCAATAAAGCCTGGAACATAGCCACGTTCATGACTTATCCACGACTGCCTTTGCACTACAACAACAGGGTTGAGTGTTGCAACAGAGACCGTGTGGCCCACAAAGCCTAAAATATATACTATCTGGCCTTTTACAGACAACTTTTGCAGACCTCTGGTCCGGACAATGAACAACCCATAGAACAAGATCTGATTTGTAATGTTTGCTGATCTCCAAAGTGTAAATACTCCCACCATGACCAATTGGAAGCCACTGACAAGTCCTCACTAAATGCAGAATTGAGAAGAAACACGAATAGCACATCATTGTATGGTATTTCCACTCTACCAATGGATGTGAATAACCTCAAGAACACATAATGTTGAGATGTGGAAAAATCATCAGGAAGCCGTGAGTTTTGACTATTTGCTTTTTAGCTAATTAATTATAAGGTCACATAATTTAGTGTTTAATAATCACTATGTTAACAACCAGCTCACAGCATTCCTGAAAATTTCACAGTTGGCTCCTGTAAGCTGATATGGCCAGCCCCAGCTCATGACAGGTTACGGTATGCTGTCAATTGTGTGGAAAACGTATCGGGAGGTCATGACTGTATATCCACATAAGCTTCTCTATGCACAGAGTATCTCTGGAAGATGCATAAGAAATTGCAACAGCTGTTGCTTCCGCAGTGGGCAAATGGAGGTCTGGGAGTTGAGTTGGGGATGCACATTTATTTTTTACTATATGTTCTTTTGTAGAGAATATAAATTGGTATGAATTTTTTAAGCATATGTCTGTGTTACCCTTAAATCCCAATGGATCTTTTATAAGCAAGCTCTTCCATCTTTTTTTTCCCGAGTCTCCCCTTCACCCTGCAGTGTCTCTGCAATGCTGGTAGAGTGGGCTGGCACAGCCCCCGCCTCTGGCCTGGTCCGGGTCCAACCTGCCTGCCTCCTGGGGCAGCAGCTCCCTGAACGAAGAGCCGCGGAGACCGAAGAACTCAGTGAATCAGCAGTTCTCCCAGATGAAACGCTGGCCTGAAAGCAGCCTCAAGAGCTTTGGCCCGTCACCTTGCCTTGCCTTCTCTTCCTTCCTCGTCCTCTGTTTGTTCATCTTTCCTGAAAAAATTAAGTCAGCTGTTCCCCTTAACCAATTTCCCTGGCATTCTGAAGGGTAGGCCACATGGCCCACCTGCCAGCTACTCCCACCTGCCAAGCCTTCCTGACTATATTTACCCTGGTACTCCCATGTCCCGGGGCTGCTTCAGCAGAGCCAAGGACACACCCAGGTGTTTGTTTTCTAGGTCAGATTTCCTCAGCCATGGGTGTATCTGTGCTTGTCCCTCAAAATCCTCATAGCTCCTTTCCCCACCCCAACTTCCAGGCCAGACGGGGTTCAGGGGTGTCTCAGCTAAGGTTCCCCTGAAGCAGACACAAATTAGTACAAAAGGGACTTATTAGGAGGTGATCCTTAAAAATTTGGGCAGGAGAATGGAAAGGGTGGACACAGACAAAAAGGATGCCAAGTGAGAATGTGATGATTACTGCTGCAGTTTTCTACAGCTGCCTGTCAAACTATCCCAACACAGTGGCATTGACCAGCAGCCATTTTCGCTATGCCCACAGCTTCTGTGGGTCAGGCGTTTGGACAGGGCAATGGGAACAGCTTGTTTCTGTTCCATAGTGTGTGAGGGAGGCCTCAACTGGAAAACTCAAAGACCGGGGTGGCTTGATGACTGGAGGCTGGAACCATCCGGAAGCTTCTTGAAGCTGGGTTGACTTACATGTGGTCTTGCATGTGAGTTGGGCTTTTCACATCATGGCTGTTGGGTTCCAAGAGGCAGTGTCTGGGGAACAAGAGTTCCAAGACACCAAGGCAGAAGCTGCTAGACCTTTTTTGACCTCGCTTCGGATGTCAGCAATGAAGTTCTGTGGATTCAACTGCATTCTATTGGTTACCAGCAGTCGCTTGAATCTGATTAGCTCCAAAACTGAGTGAGCCTCTGGCAAGAGTGCATTGCAGAAGGGCACATCCAATGAGAGGCGCTGCTGTAGTAACAGGGACCTCTCCAATGGCCTGTTTGAGTGCTCTCAGAATATGGCACCTGGGTTCCTCCAGAGCAAGTGATCTGAGAGAGAGCAAGGAGAAGGCCACTCTGCCTTTCATGACTCATCTCAGAAGTCACACACTATCACAGGTTCTGTTCTGTTCATTGGAAGTGAGTCATGAAGTCCGGCCCACACTCAAGAGAAAGGAAATTATGCTCCTTCTTTTGAAATGAGTGTAAGAAAGTAAAACTTTGTCAAATGTGTATGTGTGTGTGTGTGTGTGTCCCTAAACTATGTGTCTTTTTTTTTAATCTTTCCTAAATGGAATCACACTGTGAGTGTTCTGTGACTTGAAGTTTCACAAGACATTATATTTCTGAAATCCATTCATGTTGACACACTGTATTAGTTTGCTCCAGCTGCCATAACAAAATACCACAGACTAGGGGCTTAAACAACAGAAATTTACTTTCTCACCAGTTCTGGAGGCTGAAGTTCGAGATCCAGGCATGGGCAGGATCAGTTTCTCCTGGGGCCTCTGTCCTCGGCTTGCAGATGGCATCTTCTCCCTGTGTCCCCACATGGTCCTCCCTCTGTGTGAGTCTGTGTCTTCATCTCCCCTTCTTATAAGGACACCAATCAGGTTGGATTAGGGGCCACCCTAAAGACCTCACTTTAACTCAATCACCTCTTTAAAGAACCCACCTCCAAATATAGTCCTGAGGTCCTGGGGGTTAGGACTTCAACAGAGGAATGCTGGGGAGACACAATTCAACCCATAGCATGCATATAATTGTAGTTTGTTAATTTTCACTACTCTATAGTATCCCATTTTATGAACAGACAAAAGTATATTATTTATTCTACCAACAATGGATATTTTGGTTATTTCCAGTTTTTTGTTATTATAGATGATACTGCCACAAGCAACCTGGCTCCCATGAACATGTAGCATATATGCATCTCTATATTTACTGTTAATCCCAATTCTTTTACAAAGTGGTTGCACCAGTTTACACTCCCACCAGCAGCATATCGGAGTTACTCCACATTCTTACCAATATTTGGTATGGTCAGAATCCTTAACTTGCTAATCTCATGGTTGCAAAATAATATCTCTTTTGTGGCTTTAATTAGCCTTTCCCAGATTACCAATAAGGCAGTGAATCTTTTCATTTGTTTATGAAATGCTTTTTCATTTCCTCTGTCCATTTTTCCACTGGGTTGTTCACTCTGCCTTACTGATTTGTCAAAAGTCTTCGCATATTGCAGTTGCAATTACTTTGATCACCTGTGGCTTGTCTTTTCAGATTCTCTTGCCAATTTTTGTCCACCTTGGCTCCTCTTCTTTTGCCCGTCTCTTGTTCGTGTCCCTCTTGGGTCCTGTTCTCTCCTTGTTCCACATGTGATCCCATGTCAATCAGTCCAATGAATAAAGTTTCCACTGCATATGCACCTGAATCCTAAGTCTATATCTTCAAAATAGCTCTTAAAATCCACTGAACTCAGCCAGGTGCAGTGGCTCATGCCTGTAATCCCAGCACTTTGGGAGGCTGAGGTGGGCAGATCACATAAGGCCAGGAGTTCGAGACCAGCCTGGCCAACATGGTGAAACCCCTTCTCTACTAAAATTACAAAAATTAACCAGGTATGGTGGTGAATGTCTGTAATCCCAGCTACTTGGGAAACTGAGGCATGAGAATCGCTTGAACCCAGGAGGCGGAGGCTACAGTGAGCCAAGATCATGTCACTGCACTCCAGCCTGGGAGATAGGGCAAGACTCTGTCTCAAAAAAAAAAAAAAAAATCCACTGAACTCTTCATGCTCTTTTCCTAACCTGTGAACTTTTGAACATGTTTACTGCTGTTCAGGGAATACCATCTCCCATCCTGGCCCCTGCTCCTCCCTATACTCTGTATAGCTAACTCCTGTTAACCTGCAAGTCTCAGGTCTCAGCTGAAGGGACCTCTTTTAACCATGCTCCCAGAGTGCCCTATAACTGTCACATCACAGCACTTAGCACACAGTATTGCCATTATCCTTTTACTCGGCTGTCTCTCCCACCAGACTGTAAGTCCCCATGACACTGTACATAGCAGCATGTCTGTACAAAACTGACATGCAATAAATCCTTGATGGTGAATTAATTAATAATTCTTCATGGGTAAAAAATTAGGCTCACCAATAAAACACATGAGCACTCAAATCATTTGTACTATTAAAACATGTATGTAAATTCTACACATTAATCATCAAAACAATGTTAAAATAACCTCTGAACCCTGATCTCCCAAAATAAATGTATTATAAGTGTGTAAAACAGTTACGTTTCATCAATAGCCTCCCCTCAGCCAAGATCACACCCTCTGAAGGGAAGATCCCGGCAGAAGTTTCCACCATCCCCTAAGGATTCTATCATGGGCTCCTTCCCCTCCCCAACCCTGCCCATGCATACCACACATTTCCTCCAGAAGGAAATGGGAACTAGGAAGAATTGCCTAAACTGCTCACACCTGGGAAGCTGGGTGCTCCTGACCAAGGAGAAACTAAACAAATTAAAGTGATGACGATACTGCTCAGCAGTGATTCAGGAGCACGTTTTTCCTGAAGTCATTTGTTTGGCATTGCTACATGCCTAGTCAAAGTCAGAAACGTCAGTTTCCCACTGAATAAACAGCCAGGTGGGAAAGAAAGGGTTGGCAATGGGGCATTTTAACAAATGAGCTGAACTTTTCCTTCAACTTTATTTTCTGGTAGAAATGTTGTAAGTTAAACAGATTTACTATTTTGTTTTCCTTTCCTCTGAGATCAATTTTTCCAAGCAACTTTCTCTTAACTGGGTGTCAGTCAGTAACTTCTAAGTTCCTCTAGTGCAAGGTTTCTCAGCCTCAACACTATTCACATTTTGGGCCAGACAATTCTTTGTTGTGAAGTCCTGTCCTGTGAGTTGTAGGATGTTCAGCAGAATCTCTGGTCTCTACCAGTAGATGCTAGTAGCACTCCTCAAGTTGTGCCAACCAAAACTATCCCCAGACGGTATTTCTGGGATCGAGAGTCTAAAGAGATCTTTTGATTTGCTGCCACTGGCAACTGTTAAAAGAAAAATCTTAGACAAATGAAATTTAACAGAGTTTAATTGAGCAAAGAACAATTCACAAATCGGGCAGCCTTCCGAACCAAAGTAGGCTCAAAGGGACTCCAGCCCTGCAGTGCAGTCCAAGAAGATTTATGGACAGAAAAAGAAAGTGATGTACAGAAAATAGAAGTAGGCACAGAAATAGCCAGATGGGTTGCAGTTCCGCGTTTGCCTTATTTGAGGATGATTTGAATTGTTGGTCACCTCTGATTGGCTGAAACTTGGTTATTGACACAAAAGCAGGTTACAGTCTGTTTATGCATCCAGTTAGGTTACAGTTCACTATGTATGGAGAAACCTTTAGGCTGAACTTAAAATATGTAAGGAAACCACTTTAGGCTAAACTTAATTTAACACTATGATTATCTTGGCTTTAGCCCCCTCCTCAGATAAGGGGCCAATAAATAAACACGGGTATACCTCAGAGATGCTGTCAGTTCGGTTCTAGACCACTACAATTAAGCAAATATCATAATAAAGTCAGTCACAGAAATTTTTTGGTTTTCCAGTGCATAAAAAAAGCTATGTTTACACTATACTATTTTCTATTATGTGTGCAATAGCATTATGTCTAAAAAAGCAATGTACATACCTTAATTTAAAAATATTGCTAAAAAATGCTAATGATCTGGACCTTCAGCCAGTTGTGTTTTTGTCAGCAGAAGGTCTTGCCTCAATGTTGATGGCAGCTGAGTAATCAGGGTTGTGGTTGCTGAAGGGTGGGAAGGCTGTGGCAGTATCTCAAAATAAGACAGCAATGAAGTTTGCCGCATCGGTTGACTCTTCCTTTCGTGAAAGATGTCTTTGTAGCATGAGATGCTGTTTGATAGCATTTCACCCACAGTAGGACTTCTTTCAAAACTGGAGTCAATCCTCTCAAACCCTGCCACTGCTTTCTCAACTAAGTTGATGTAACATTCTAAATCCTGTGTTGTTATGTGAATAACATTCATAGCATCTTCACCAGGCATAGATTCCACCTCAAGAAACCACTTTTTCTGATCATCCATAGAAGCAACTCCTCAGCTGTTCAGTGTTTATCATGAGATTGCAGCAATTCAGTCACATCTTAGACTCCACTTCTAATTTTTGTTCTCTTGCTATTTCTACCGCATCTGAAGTTACTTCCTCCACTGAAGTCTCAAACCCCTGAAAGTCAGCCATGAGGGTTGAAATCAACTTCTTTCAAACTTCTGTTAATGTTGAGATCTTTACCTCCTCTCATGAATCACGAATGTTCTTAATGGCTTCTAGAATGGTGAATCCTCCACAGAAGGTTTTCAGTTTACTTTGCCCACATCCATCAGTGGAACCAGTGCCACATCCATGGCACCTGTAGCCTTATGAAATGTATTTCTTAAATAATAAGACTTGAAAATGGAAAATACTCCTTGATCTACGGGCTGCAGAATGGATGTTATGTTAGGAGGCATGAAAACATTATTCTCCTTGTACATCATCGGAGCTCTTAGGTGACCAGGTGCTTTGTCAATGAGCAGTAATATTTTGAAAGGAATTTTTTTAGCAGTGGGTCTCAACACCGGGCTTAAAATATCCAGTAAAACATGCTGTAAACAGATGAGGGGTTATCTGGGCTTTGTTGCTCTATTTATAGAGCACAGGCAGAGTAGATTTAGCATACTTCTTAAGGGCCTTAGGGTTTTCAGAATAGTAAATAAACATTTTCTTCAACTTAAGGTCACCAGCTGCATTATCCCCTAACAGGAGAGTCAGCCTGTCCTTGAAGCTTTGAAGCCAGGCATTGATTTCTCCTCTGTAGCTATAAAAGTCTTAGTTGGTGTCTTCTTCCAATACATGGCTGTTTCTTCTACATTGAAAATCTTCTATTTAATGTAGCCACCTTCATCAATTTTAGTTAAATCTGCTGGATAACTTGCTGCAGCTTCTCCATTAGCACTTGCTGCTTCACCTTGCCCTTTAAATTACAAATACGGCTTCTTTCCTTAGACCTCATGAACCAACCTCTGTTGCTTCAAACTTTTCTTCTGCAGCTTCCTCACCTCTCTTGGTCCTCAGAGAATTGAAGAGAGTTAGGGCCTTGCCCTGGATTAGGCTTTGGCACAGAGAAATGTGGTGACAGGTTTGATTTTCTATCCAGACCACTAGAACTTTCTCCATATCAGCAATAAGGCTGTTCTGCTTTCTTATCATCTGTGTGTTCACTAGAGTAGCACTTTTAATTTCCTTCAAGAACTTTTTCTTTGCATTCACAAGTTGGCTAACTCTCGGGCACAAGAGCCTAGCTTTCAGCTATCTCAGCTTAATCATTTCTACCTTTTGATTTAAAATAAGAGACATGAAACTCTTCCTTTCACTTGAACACTTAGAGGCCACTGTAGGGTTATTAATTGGCCTAATTTCAACATCATTGTATCTCAGGGAATAGGAAGGCCCAAGAAAAGGGACAGTGGTGGGAGAACAGCAGGCTGGTGGAGGGGTCAGAACACACACAGCATTTGTGAATTACATTCATCATCTTCTATGGGCATAGTTCGTGGCCCCCCAAAACAATTACAATGGTAACATTACAGATCACCAGAACAGATATTATAATGATGGAAAAGTTTGAAATGTTGTGAGAATTGCCAAACTATGACACAGAGACGCAAAGTGAGCAAAGGCTGCTGGAAAAATCATGCTGATAGACTTGCCCCACACAGGGTTGCCACAAAACTTCAATCTGTAAGAAACGTACTATCTGCAAAGTGCAATAAAGCAAAGCACAATGCAACCAGGTTTGGTTGTGAACTCTTTAGCCCCTTCTCAGATGTCCAAGAGAAAAACAATAAATAATAATCCTTTTGTAGTTCATAAGCTGATGGTTGGGTTTTCACGCTCATGTGTGAGATGTGTTCCTTCATATCTGTCAACACACTACCGGGCTGTTGTGACAACAAATGAGTAAACAGGAGGCACAGGCCCATTGTATTGCATGTCTGGAAACAATTCTCTTCTTATAACACAGCTAGGGTTCATGTGTATCATTTCACAATCTCATTCAATAGTAGGTAGTGATTTCCAACAACAGAAAGTGCACATTTCCAAGCCACACAGTCAAGGACCTCCACAACCTGAGTTTCGAAACTTGGGGAGAATTGTGTTAAGTGAACAAAAAGGTTAGACATTTTAGGTGGAAAAAATCATACTGGCAAAGGTGTGGTGGTAAGCAGGAAAGGAAAATTCCACAGATGCATGGCCACCATGGCTGGAGAAGAGGGTTCCTACAGCATACAAAGATGTGGCTTTCCCATAGACTAGGTGCCATCTCTAGGGAATCACTCCCTCCTCTCCCCAACCCATGTGGTCATGCCTGCTTCTCAATTCCTGACAACTTGGGTTTCTACCACCTGTTAGCACTGCTAACTTACACTGCTTTGTATTGCTAATGATTTTTTCCTACGTGGTGTATCATCCCAGTTCAGTGGTAAATTTCCAAAAGACAGTGATACCATCTAGTGTGAAAGTTTACCCGGATCCTGGCTAACACAGTGAAACCCTGTCTCTACTAAAAATACAAAAATTAGCTGAGCGTGGTGGCATGCGCCTGTAATCCCAGCTACTTGGGAGGCTGAGGCAGGAGAATCGCTTGAACCCAGGAGGCGGAGGTTGCAGTGAGCCAAGATCATGCCACTGCACTCCAGCCTGGGCTACAGAGTAAGACTCCATCTCAAAAAAAAAAAAGAAAAAGAAAGTTAACCTGGAGCAGGGACTTGAAAAGTATAAACAACCGATTCCTTCAGAAAACAGAGAGAGGGGCACTCGAATTATTAATAAACAGTTGGATTAAGATCAACCTCTGGAATGAAAATGGCTGATTAACTTAGTTGTAAGTCACTTATGCTGATTAGCAGCAGATGAAACCTGCTATATTGATAGAGGTTTGTCAACATTACACAAAATTTAATTTAAAAACCATTCCATCAGTAGGATAATTTTAATAATCTGATGGTACTGAAGCCTTTGTCACACTAAATGATTTTTTTAAAGTTCTTTTTCTTATGTAGAAGATAGGATCAAGCAAACACCTGCAGCTGGTCACATGTGCATTACTATGTGACTCTACAGTGCCCCACTGAAGCCAATGTCACTTCCTCCAGGCCCCAGTCAGTCATCCTCCCACATTCCACAGTGCCTTTGTCCAGACCTGCTATGCTGTAATCTTGCAATAACCTTTGGAGTTGCCTCTTTTTATTCAATGAAGTCTGCTGTCAAGCAAGGAAAGCTGGTTGTAAATGCAGCATTCAGGGATGCAGGCCAAGTTCATCGCACTGAAGTCCTATCATTGTTAACAAAAACAAAATAATTGCTGCATGTTGACATACCGCAAGCAAGGGAAGTAACTAAACTGACATCAGTGGAATGGGGTGGGAGGGCCATGAGATGAGACAATCTCTACATTGCATTAACAACCTCTGTGTCTGCATTTATTCCAGCACCTTCCTTTGAACTCATTATGGTCCTCTCCAGACAACCCTCTCATTATCTCAAGGTTGAACTACTTCTCCTGGAACAGTGTCTCTTCACAATTATGATGGCTCCAGACATTTGAGAGGGAGCCAGTTTCCCTTTAGAATACATTAGTGTCTTTCAAAAGTAAATAAATGTTTACTTTGTCAAGCAATTAATTAAAAACAGCAAAGTAGGTGAAAGAATGACAGAAAGAAAGAATAAGGAGGTGTTTTAAGGAAAATCCTGTTGGAAACTTTAGGTGGAGAATGACACCCATTCTTTCATTCATTTGGTTTTATGCTGAAAGCAGACAAGGTATTTTACAATAAATGATATATGAATTCTAAAAATATTAAGGGAAGGGAAGCAAAACAGCAAGAGACAAGAGACAAGAAAAGAGACAAGACATGAAAAGGGTGCAAAAATTCTGTCAGAAAACCTAGGTAAAAGGAGCACAAATCTTAGCTCTGTGATCCCAATCAGGGACTACAGGGGGAGCTGACCAAGAGCCACAGGAGGGGTTCCTAGCCCTGGCTGTGCCTCGGACTCAAAGGGAGGGGGCATCTTCAAAGTCTGGTCATCTCACCCTACTCAAACGCACTGAATCAGAATCTCTAGGCCTTAGACCAAGACATCCGTCTAATGAAAGGAAGCACAAAAAACCATCAAGAGAAACAACCTTTAACTCCCAAAGGAATTTATGACATATGGTTTTCTTTTAAAGCCACTAGACAAGGAAATGGACCGCAGTCAATAACAGATAAAGAACACCTTCAGAGATGTTTGTCACAGGGCTGTTTCTCACACCAACCCTCAATAAAGGCTGAGGACATAAAGGGTACCTTAAGCCTTGGAAAGAACTTTCTCCTCTGCAGCCAGCCTTGTGCTCATCTCATCAGAGCAAGCATAAGGACTAGACTAGGGGATGTTGGATGGCACGTGCTTTGGGCTTCTTCGCCTAGGCTTGTGGTGAGACCCAAATGAGTAAGGTCATGCACATAGCAGGTATCCAGTAAACATTAGTTGATTATTGTTATCATCATTACTTTTTTTTTTTTTTTTGAGACAGAGTCTCACTTTGTCACCCAGGCTGGAGTGCAGTGGCACAATCTCGGCTTACTGCAACCTCCACCTCCTGGGTTCAAGCAATTCTCTTGCCTCAGTCTCCCGAGTAGCTGGGACTACAGGCGCACACCACCACACCCAACTAATTTTTGTATCTTTAGTAGAGACGGGGTTTCACTGTGTTGGCCAGGCTGGTCTCTAACTCCTGACCTCGTGATCTGCCCACCTCAGCCTCCCAAAGTGCTGGGATTACAGGCGTCAGCCACCACGTCCGGCCAAAGCAACCTCGAATGGGGCCAGATACCCAACACATGCACGAGTTTTGCTCTGACCTTGGCCTGGAACACTTTGGAACAGCCTTTGTCTCCCACCCACATTTCTGATGACCCATCAGAAAGCTCAGCTAATTCCTCAGAATCTGTCATCAATAATCTCATAAGGTTCCCTTTCTTCGGAACATGGCCTATGACATCCTTTTTAAATGTTCTCAATTCCTGTGAAAGGCGGTTCTTGGCCCTATAATCCCAGCACATTGGGAGGCCTAGACAGGTGGATCACCTGAGGTCAGGAGTTCAAGACCAGCCTGGCCAACATGACAAAACCCCATCTCTACTAAAAATACAAAATACAAAAATTAGCTGGGCATGATGGCGGGTGCCTGTAATCCCAGATACTTGGGAGGCTGAGGTGGGAGAATCACTTGAACCCAGGAGGCAGAGGTTACAGTGAGCCGAGATCACGCCACTGCACTCCAGCCTGGGCAACAGAGTCAGAGTCCATCTCAAAGAAGAAAAACAAACAAACAACAACAACAAAATTGGGGAGGTTCTTCCCGGGAGTCATCTCTTTTCAAGTTTGTTATTCAAGAGAGTGTAAAGGTTGAGAGTTAAAACCATACAGATGTCATAAACTGCTGCCCAGACAGTAAGTGACAGTAAGCTCACACTTGCCACCAGGGCGGTAGCCAGCTTCTGATCACTCGTGAAATAAAAGCCAAAGGGCATCCCACGGGCAGGTTTCATTTGCTGAGGGTGTGAGGAATTGGCTCTATGGCTTTTATATAGACTCACAGGTACCAGTCAGTAGCAGAGGGCGCCTGTAGCCAGGACCAACACTTCAAAGTGTCCTCCTTGGTAGAGGCAGTGCCATTCTGGAGAATGAGGACATCTTTAGGACCTTAGGTGAGGTCTGAAAGCCCTGGACACTGCGGGACGCTAGGCAGCCAGGCACCCTTGGAACCGAAGCCGCCTGGGGAGGCAGGAAGCCGCAGCTCGTGCTGCTGTTGACGCCAAAGCCGCCTGTCCCCACCCCCTCTCGCTCCCGGGAGAACCGGGCAGAGGGAAAACCTGGAGAGATGGAGCTGGAGTTGAGGAAGGGAGCTTTGGCTAGACCCCGGATGGGCAGGAAGGGGAGAGAGAGAGAGACTAAAATTGAGTGCAGCATTGGTTTTAGAAATAACTTTAGGAATAACTGAAAACGCAAAGCTTGAATGTCATCTTGGGGTGTGAGATAGCAGCCACAGTCCCTTTTTAACTCTGCTTATAAATATGTTTAACTAAAATGGCTTTGACTACAGTAATGCCCACAGCCGGTCACAGGTCATAGCTGGAAAGACCAGCAGTGAAATCTCTTCTTTAAAGCCAACACATTTTCTCTGTTCCTAAAATGTTTTGCCTACCAAGCCCAGGGAGCCCCACAGAACACACCTCCTACGTGGAAACCAGATGCAAATTCTATGGTACAAGTGGTTCATCGGTACCTTTGGAAATCCTAGAACTAGAGACCTGTCAGCGGGATGTCAATCCTCAGGGAGATCTCAGAGCATTTCACTAGAAGCCGGTGTGGGGCAAGTCATGTCAAACATTTCTGATAAGGCTGTGATTTCTGTAAGGCTTGTTTTTTACATAAACATTTTTAAATCATATTTTTTCAGATAATAAAAGCAGTATATGCTTTCTATTTTTTAAAAAAGCACTAAAAACAATAAATAAATTAGATCAATGCACCCCTACCATGATCCCAATCCTTAGAGATAACCACTGTCAACTGTTTGATATGTACTTATCCACATTTTTCTCTGCATATATGCTATCTTACAAAAGCAGGATTTATATCTATGTACTCAGATTCTTAGTGACTCACATTACTAGGAAGGTGATCTTCAAAAGTAAATTAATTTTTAAAGTAATTTCAGTTTAACTTTGATGTTCACATATGAACGTGTCACTTTTTTAACTGAGCATTTCACTAGGAGAACTCAATATCATCATTTGATAGTGAGGCAGTATTGCGGTTCTCATACAAAAGATAGCAGGCAGTAATTATCAAATAATCTTAGTTATTTGTATAGTTAACAAAAATGATCTAATATTAAGCAATTATTGAGTCCATACTAACTTCTAGGTACTGTCATAAGCATTTTACTTACGTTAACTCTGAAGAACAACCTTATGAGAAAGGTAGTAATATCCTTTTTCAGGTGGAGAAAAAGAGGCTCAGATAAATTAAATAATGTTCCCAAGGTCACACAGCAAGTAATTGCTGCACAGATATTGAAATGTATTCAAAGCAACATCAATATATGTTCTATCCTGCTACCAACTGTTCAAGTCATCAGGTTATAGTTATGAAAACAAGCAGATAAATAAATCAACATGTTTAAAATTGTTTTGTGATTCAACTATGTATATTATGGAGTTCTTAGTGACAGTGATGAGTTTGTAGTCCATCCCCAGGTACTTACCACCAGTGTGACCCTCAGCAGATCTTTTAGCTGAAACACAGCTACAAACTGAAGATGCTGTCTATAATAACACTGGGCTCACGGAGCTAAAGTGAGGTTTAAAGAAGGCAATGTATATGAAATCTCCTTGAAAACTGTAAAGAACTATCTAATATGATGTTAAGGACATATTTATGTGGCAATTCCTCATTCAATTACAACAGGCTTTATAACTTCACATTTATAATAATTCCATCAGAATACAACAAATGCAGAATTTTTTTAACTAACTGAAAATAAAAGGCGGCTTTCCACACTACTCAAAGTCACGGCATATTCCCCGAGATCATGTCTGTAACCTCTCCCAGGCTCGGAAAACCTTGTTTTCCAGCCATACTTTTTCCCATTCTGATACTGAAGTGTTAGATTAATTTTTATTTTATCAACATAATAACACTCATATATTTTGTCAAATACTCAATACAAAAAAAAAAAGTTTCTGACCTAACTCCCCAATTTTCTTGCTGAATACTACCATTTTCCTTTCCTTCCTCTCTTTCTTCCAGTATTTACGTTCACATTTCAAAATGATACGTTTATTCTGCAACTTGTTGATTAATCTATTTTAGTGTATTATTGACTTCCTATTAGAAAGATAAGGATATTGTTTTCATAAACTACTTCTCCTCCTCCATTTTCCTCATACTCCAAAATGGGGTTACATCATAATCATGAGTCATGTGTTCCTGAGTCGGTATTAACATTGTTATGGTTATCTAATATTGTTTACCACTGAGACAAAGGGTAAACTATCACTACTATTTCCTCTCCTGTAAAAAGAAACCAAAAATGGCAAACAATAGAGATAACCAATGAAACCAAAGGCTGGCTCTTTGAGAAGATTAATAAAATCACAAAGACTCTAGACTGAGCAAGAAGACACAAATTACCAAAATCAGGAATGAAAGAGAGAACATCATCACAGATCCTACAAATATTAAAAGAACGATATAGGGAAGAATATACACACGTATATGCCAATGAATTTGAAAAATTGCATAAGTGGTCACATTGCTCAAAAGATACAGATTACCAAAACTGGCACAAGCAGAAATATAAAATATGATAAGGCTTTATATCTATTAAACAAATTCAATTGTAATTTAAAATCTTCTCACAATTATAAATCCAGGTCTTGATGGCTTCTCTTATGAATTCTAACAAATACCTAAGTAAGAAATAATACCTATCCTATACAAATATTTTTATAAAATAGGAATCAAGGAACATTTCCCATCCATTTTATGAGGCCAGTATTGCCCTGATACTAAAAACAAAGACATTAAAAGAAAATAAAACTATAGCTAATATTCTTCATGAACATAAAGGCAAAAATTCTTAATAAAATATGAGCAAAACAAATCAAACAATATTTTAAAAGGATAATATATCATGATCAAGTGGGATTTATCTCAGGAATTTAAGATTAGTTTAACATTTGAAAATTAATCAATGTAATTCATCATATTAATAAAATAAAAGTAAAACCCTATGATCATCTCAATAGACACAGAAAAAGCATTTGGCAAAATTTAACATTCATTCATGATAAAAACTCTCAGCAAAAATGAACTTTCTCAATCTGATTTTTTTTTAAATCTATGAAAAACCTACAGCTAACATCACACTTAATGGTGAAAGACAGGACATTTCCCCCGAGATGAGGAACAGAGCAAGGATAGTCACTCTCAACTACTCCTATTCAACATTGTACTAGAAGGCACAGCCAGTGCAAATAAAGTCATCCAAATTGGAAAAGAAGAAAAACTATTTATTTGTAGACATGATTGTCTATATAGAAAATCTTAAGAGAAATATGAAAAAGCTACTAGAATTACTAAAACTAATAAGAAGGCTTAGCAAAGTTGCAAGATACTGTTAATATTTAAATATCAACAGTATTTCCAAACAATTGGAAAATAAAAAAAAAATTTTAACTTCACATTTACAACACGCACACACAAAAATTAAATACCTGAAATACCTAATGATAAGCTTAACAAAATATAATCAAGATGTGTATGCTGAAAAGCATGAAACATAGCAGAGAGATATAAAAAGACTCAAATAAATGGAGAAATAAATAATATTCATGGATAAGAAGACTCAATAGTTATAAAATGTCAGTTATTTCCAAACTGATCTTTAGACTCAAAAAAGGAATTTTTTTGTAGAAATTGACAAACTGATTCTAAAGTTTATATGAAAATTTAAAGCATCTAGAATAGTGCAATTTTGGAAAAGAAAAAAGTCTGAGGATTTAACACTACCTGATTTTAAATCTTACTAAACTGCTACAATAATCAAGGTAATGAGCTATTGGTATATAGACAGACACATGGATCAAAAAAACTGATTAGGGAGTCTAGAAGTGGACTCACATGTACATGCCCAACTAATTTTCAACCAAAGTGACAAGGTAAGCCAATGGCTCAAAGACAGTATTTTCAAATAAATTGTGCTGGAACAATCAGATATCCTATGACCCTTACCTCAAACCATACACAAATGTTAACCCATAGACTTAAATGTAAAAGATAACACTATAAAACATCCAGAAGAAAACATATCCAATCTCAATCTAACAAATATCTCACATACAGAACATAACAACCACTAACCATAAAAGAAAGTATTAATATGTGGAACTTTATCAAAATTAAAACCACTATTCTTCTGAAGACAATGTTTACAAAAAAAGGCAAACCACAGAATGGGAGAAAATATTTGAAAATGTACATTTGAGAAAAAAATTGTATCCAGATTACGTAACAACTATTACATTCATTGTTATATTCAACAATATAAACAACCCATTTTTTTAATAGGGGAAAGACTTGAATAAACACTTCAAAAAAGAAGATATACAAAAGTTTACAAGCAAATGAAAAGATATTCAACACATTATTCCAAAAAAAGTAATTTAAAAATACCATGAGATATCACAACATATGCATTAAATTAGCTAAAATTTAAAAAACCTGATAATCCCAAGTGTTGACAAGCAATGGAGCAACTGGAACTCTCATATATTTTGATATGCATGTAAAATGGTACAACCATTTTGGAAAGAAGCTTGGCAGTTTCTTATAAAGTTAATCTTATATTTACTATATGACCTAACAATTCCATTCCTATCCATTTATTTAAAGGAAATGAAAATGTATGTTCACATAAAGTCATAGACACAAATGTTCATAGCAGCTTTATCATTAATCGCCCCAAACTGGAAAGAACCCACCCAAGTTTCCTTCAATAGATGAATGGATAAACTATGATACAGTCATAGAGTGGAACAATATATAGCAGTAAAAAAGAATATATGGCTGGTATATGCACCAACATGGATGAATCTCAAAAACATTATGCTCAATAAAAGAGATCACGCTCAAAAGACTATAGTTATGTAGTCCGTGGGGAATGGATCTGGGACCTTACTTGCATACCAAAATCCTCTGATGCTCAAGTCCCAGATATAAAATGGCATAGTATTTACCCACATCCTCCCATATCCTTTAAATCATCTCTAGATTACATATAATACCTAGTACAGTGTAAACAAAAATCATTGTCATGGTGTATTGTTTAGGGAATAATGGCAAGAAAAAATAAGTCTATACATGTTCAGTACAGACACAATGTTTTTGCCCAAATATTTTTGATCCATGGTTGGCTGAATCCATAGATTTAGAACCCATGGATACAGAGGGCTGATTTATTTATATGACTCTATTTATATTAACTTCTAGAAAAAGTAAAACTATAGTGGTGGAAAGCAGATCAGTGGTAGTCAGGGTTCAGGAAGTAAATGAAAGGATAATTAATCCCCTTGAAAAGGAGTCCAAGAAATTTTCTCGGGTGATAGCAGCATTCTGTATCATAATTGTAGTGGTGGATACATGATTGTATATTTTCAAAACTAGGGATTCTCAGCCTTGGCACTGCTGATGTTCTGGGCAGCATAGTTCTTTGTTGCAGGACTTTACTGTGCACTGCAGGATGTTCAGCAGTGGCCCTGGCCTCTATCCAACACGAGGATCACACTCACACCCCCTCCCAAGTTGTGACCACCAAAATTGTCTGTAGACATTACGAAACATCTCCTGGAGGAGTGAAATCACTTCTGGTTGAGAACCACTAGTCAAAACTCATCAAATAGACTGGGCACAGTTGCTCACATCTATAATCCCAACACTGGGAGGCTGAAGCAGATGGATCGCCTGAGCCTAGGAGTTTGAGACCAGCCTGGGTAACATTAAATTAAATTTAACAAAATAGAATTAAATTTTATTTTTAAAATTCAAATTAAAAAAAAATTTTTTTAGATAGGGTCTCACTCTGTCACCCAAGTTGGAGTGGCATGATCTTGGCTCACTGCAACCTCCACCTCCCAGACTCAAGTGATCCTCCCACCTCAGACTCCTGAGTACCTGGAGCATAGGTGCATGTCACCACCCCGGGCTAATTTTTGGTATTTTTGGTAGAAACTGGGTTTCGCCATGTTGCCCAGGCTGGTCTCAAACTCCTGAGCTCAGGCAATCCACCCACCTCGGCCTCACAAAGTGCTGGGGATTACAGGCTTGAGCCACCACACCTGGCCAGAAATTTTCTTTTTAATTTCAAAAAAAGAGAAAAAAGACCAGGCACGGTGGTTCAGGCCTGTAATCCCAGAACTTTGGGAGGCCAAGGTGGGCAGATCACCTGAGGTCAGGAGTTCGAAACTAGCCTGGCCAACATGGCAAAATCCCATCTCCATTAAAAATATAAAAATTAGCCACAGGTGTGGTGGCGTATGCCCGTAGTCCCAGCTTCTCAGGAGGCTGAGGCATGAGAACTGCTTCAACCTGGGAGGCGGAGGTTGCAGTGAGCTGAGATTGTGCCACTTCACTCCAGCCTGGGCAACAGAGGAGACTCCGTCTCAAAAAAAAAAAAAAAAGAGAGAGAGAGAGAGAGAAACTCATCAAATAGTAGACTTGTAAAATAGAAATTAGTGAATTTTAGCATACATAAATCCTACCCCAATAAAACTGATTTTTAAAATTTAGGAAGCAGTTTAGGCCCAGGAGATATGAGTTCACCCTTACACATTTTGCATGTCCCTCATTATAATCGAATGAGAAGCTCTACAGATACTGAAATAATTTTTCTGCAGATTTTTAGAAATATTCAATTTTTTGAATTAATTCAGCATTGTTACTGAAAAACCTGATGTGATCTTAATGCCTGATTCTTTGTGACCATTTTTATTCCTCTGAAAGTTTTTAGTCACTAAATTAGGTTCTTATAATAAGCCCATTAAAACTGGAAAATTAAGTCCTTTTCTAGGAAGTTTTCATGCACGCTTTATTTAAAATTTTTTCCTGTCTGTTTTCTCTATTCTCTTTTCCTAGAACTCCAGAAAGATATTGGGACTCCAGAAAACACCTTCCCATCTTATCTAATAGTTGTCTGTCTTTTTGTCTTTTCATTCTAGGAGAGGGCCTTTGTCTTCCAACTCTTTCTGAAGTCTTTGTTTCAGATTTCTTATCTGTAATTCCAAAGAGTTTTTTCTTGTTCTCGAATTGTTCATCTTCTCTAAGGACGCTATTGTAATTCGATTCCTTTTCCTCCAATCCCTGCAGGTGTGTCCCTTCTAGAGATAATGCCACTTTCAGCCTCTCATGTTGAAAGTTGTCCTTGGATGCATGGTGATCACCTTAGCTGTTTGTTCATATTTAACTAAGATAGGGGCCTTAAAATTGGCTGTCCTGTAAGCATGGGTAGAACGTGTTGAGTGGTTGCCTTCGGAAAATGATAAAGCAGCAGAAAGATGATTTTTCTTTTGGGAAAATGTCAATGTCTGAAGGTGTTTTCTCTTGAGAATTTACAGTCCCTCCAAGGGTGAATTTTCCATCCCCCTGCGTAGGAAGAACATCCCGATTTCTGGTGTTCCAGGCAGAGAGCAAGGGAAGCAGGCTGATGCAAGGAAGCATCATTCTTCCCAACGTTCCCTTATAACTCCCATTTTGAGCCCAAATATCATCCTTGCCTTCCACTGAGCCCTGTGTCCCTGACTCTGAAGGCTCTTAAATCAGGATTTTGAAGAAAATGGTTCTTCCCCTGAAACAGAATGCTGTGAATAAGACTGTCCTGGAGGGGCAGAGTGGAAATAGATGCTGTGGGGGAGGGGAAGGGCTGTCAAACGCCATGACCAGGTTCATCATCGCCTCTCTCCTCCCCTCTACCTTTCTCCCTGGTTTCCATAGAGCAGAAATCTGGGTCAAGGTGGAGTGCATTGGATCAAGAGTTGCTATGATTTGGGAAAAGCTCTGCAGGATAAGTCGTGAGTTGAGTGGAATGTGGTTTTGCAGAATAAAGGAAAGGCTAAGGAGAGAAAAACAAGAGGAGCAGCTGAGGGCAGCCCGAAGGGCACCAGCTCCAAGGTGCAGGCCGAGCTCCTCGGGGAGGCCAGCGTGGCTGGAATGTAGGGTGGCAGCAAAAAGAGAGCGCTCCACATAGAGAAAGGGACTTGCAGGATTTCTTTCAAGGGGCTGTCAATCTCCAGCATAGGCCCTTTCCTGAAGGTAACCTGGGAACTTAGAAGATGTGCACTGAGACATTTTAAGAAACCCAAGAGTAAAAGGGGGTGCTTTTATGGACATGTGTGGCTGTAGGAGGAGGCCTGGGCTTAGAGCAAGAGCAGCTACAGGCGATAACATGGGCAAGGAATCCTCAGGGTTCTGCTCCTGCCCTCGAGCCTCTGCTTCACGTGTCCTCAGGAATAAAATCAGACCTTGCAGAAACTCAATCTGGGTGAGGAGCTGAAAAAATATATAAGTTGAAATTTTAAAGCTGCAGGCTTCTCACTCCTTCTCCAAATCCCAGGGCTAGAGAATTATATTCTAAGAGCATCTATCTCTCCTAATTCTGCTTCTCTCTAGAGGGCAAAAGTCAGGACCTGATTTTAGGAGTTGTTTTTCAGAGTAGGGAGCTCAGCACCTCATGCATTCACCCCCTCCTCCCTGAGCCCCTGGGAACTCTCCGGTGTGGAGCTGGAGGAAAAACCAGTACAGTACTCTCTCAGGAAAACAAGCTCAGAGGCGGAATCAACAAGACAGCTGACGAACACATCCTCTTCAAGAGAGGCCAGGGGTAAGGAGGATGGCTAAACTCAAGTTCTTATCTCATAGGGAGGGAAATTAATATTCATTTTTTTCAAAAGCAAGAAAAGATAAAAAAAGAAAACTTGAGATAAAGAAGGTAGAAACAGGTCTAATATATCAATAATTAAATAATTATAAATGATTATATTTATAATATATAATATAATAATTATAAATAATAAATGTATTTGGAAGGAATTCACCACTCACTTGATTAACAAATTGAATTTTTAAAATCCAGATATGTGCTATTTATAAGAGACACTCAAGCATAAGGACATACAACAGTTGAAAGCAAAAGGATGGAAAATGACATGATAGGCAAATATGAACAAAAAGAAAGCTGTGTAGCATATTAGTATCATATGAGCCAGGCTCCTAGACAGGAAACATTATTAGGGATCCAGAGGATCACTACAAAGTAGTAAAACTTTAATTCATCAAGAAGAGAACAAGCCGGGTATGGTGGCTCACGCCTGTAATCCCAGCATTTTAGGAGGCCAAGATGGGCAGATCGCTTGAAGTCAGAAGTTCAAGACCAGCCTGGCCAACATGGCAAAACCCTGTCTCTACTAAAAAGTACAAAAATTAGCCAGGCATGGTGGTGAGCACCTGTAGTCCCAGCTACTCAGGAGGTTGAGGCAGGAGAATCACTTGAACCTGGGAGGCGGATGTTGCAGTGAGCCAAGATCATGCCACCGCACTCCAGACTGGGAGACAGAGCGAGACTGTCAAAAAAAAAAGAGAGACAACAACTTTAAACATAAATGCACAAAATAAAATAGCCTCAAGTATATTAGGTAAAATTTTTTGGAACTAAGTGAATTTAGCATGGCTTTCTCAGTTACTGATAGATGAAGACAAAAAAATCAGCAAGGATATTAAAAATATGAACCACTCAATTTCAAGTTATGACCCACTCAGCTGACATCTAATGGATATATTGAGTTCCTTCAAGTATTAGAGAATATACATTTTTCTCAAGAACACATGGAATATATGCAAAAATTTGAGCATGTACTAAGCCATAAAGAAAGTCTCAACACATTTTGAACTTAGATATGAAGCAGACTAGGAACTCTGACCACAATGAAATTAAATTAGAAGTTTAAAGTATACATTTTAAATGACTACATATTTAGCAGTACTGCTAAACAACACATGGGTTAAAGGAGAAATATCATAATAAAAAATTTAATATATCTAAAACTGAATGACAATAAAAATAGCAAATATCAAAATTGCTCGGATGCAGCCAACGTGTACTCTGAGGGAAGTTAATAGATAATTACGTATATTAGAATGAAATAAAATCCCAAAATTATTGAGCTAAGTGTTAGTCTTAAGAAGTGAGGAGGAACCAACAAACTCAAAGACATTAGAATTCAGAACATAAAAATAGGAGCCAAAATCAACAAAGTAGAAAACAGAAATACAATGGAGAAGAATCAAAAGGCTAAGAACTGGTTCGCCACTAAAACTAACAATACAGATAAACTTTTCAAGATTTGTCAAGACAAGAAGATAGAAGTCACAATAAGTAATATTATGAATGAAATGGGGGGTGTTATACATAAAGTATCCATAATACATAATAAGAGAATATGACCAAAAACAATATGCCAAAAATTTTGAAAACTTAGATAAATATCTACAAAACATAATTTATTAAAACTGACTTAAGCAAAAAACCAAAAGGTAAAACTTGAATAATGCTATAATTATTAAAGAAAAATTATTCTCACACACACACAAAAAGTACCAAGCCCCCATGGGTTTACAGGTGAGGTGAAATTTTCAAGGACCAGATCATCTAGACAAAAGAAATTCTTCCGGACAAAAGAAAAATTCTTCCAGACAAAAGAAAATGAGGGATTACTCCCTAACTCCTCTTATAAGGGGAGATGTTAAAGGAGAATGGACAGTGAACACAATTAAGAAAAATCGCTGCCCCATGGAACTTACGTTCTAGGGTGAGTATGGGAGGGACACACAGTAAATAGGTAAAAGATACAGTATGATAGATGGTGGTAACTGTTACGGAGAAAACTAAAACAAGAAAGACCCAGGGGAAGTGGGTGATGCCATTTTAAGTAGGATGGTCAGGGTGGACCTCACATTTCAGGAAGACCTGAAGGAGGTGAGAGAAAGAGACCCATTTTTGACTGGAGGAAGAACAGCGCAGTCAGAGGGAGCAGGAAGTGCGAAGGCCCTGAGGTGGGAACACCACTGGCATGTGCAGGGGTGAGACAGAGGAGTGTATGACTGGGAGAGGGCAGGTAACAGGAAGGAGAGTAGGAAATGAGGGGCCAGACCTCGACTGTGACTCAAGAGAGTGCAGCACAGGAGTGGCAGGATCTGGCTTACATTTTTGCAGGATCACCCTGCTATTATGTTGAAAATGCACTGAAGGAGTGACGGTGGAAGCAGACCCTTTAGGAGGCTATTGCAGCAATCCGGACAGGAGATGATGGCGGCTCAGATGAGGTGGTGCCGTGGAGGAGGAGGGCTTACATTCTGGGCAAACCTGAAAGATGCAGTCTACAGGATTTACTCGTGGATTGAATTGGGGTGAGAAAGACAGAAGGAGTCCTGGGGGATCCAGGGCTTTGTTTGGGCTGGAGCAACTGGAAGGATGAAGTTTCTGTTGAATTTGATCCTTCAAACCACAAAGAGAATGAGAAGAGAGTGGGGAGAGAGACAGGGAGACAGACAGAGGGGTAGAGAGACAGAAATTTTCACATGCTTCTCTTAAGAAAGCCAGCCTCCCCAGCACCACCCCAAAGTCAGCCATGAGGCAAGAGCAAATGGCTGTTTGAGGAGACAGAGAAACAGCATCATAGACAGGCATGACGCAGGAGAAGCAAGATGCCAGTTTTCAAAAAGTAGAACAGAGATTGTGCACATAGCCAGCAAGAAAAAGCAGTGGATTTTCATAAAACCTACATTTTTTATTATTATACTTTAAGTTTTAGGGTACATGTGCACAACATGCAGGTTTGTTACATATGTATACATGTGCCATGTTGGTGTGCTGCACCCATTAACTCATCATTTAACATTAGGTATATCTCCTAATGCTATCCCTCCCACCTCCCCCCACCCCACTACAGGTCCCAGTGTGTGATGTTCCCCTTCCTGTGTCCATGTGTTCTCATTGTTCAATTCCCACCTATGAGTGAGAACATGCAGTGTTTGGCTTTTTGTCCTTGCGATAGTTTGCTGAGAATGATGGTTTCCAGCTTCATCTATGTCCCTACAAAGGACATGAACTCATCATTTTTTATGGCTGCATAGTATTCCATGGTGTATATGTACCACATTGTCTTAATCCAGTCTATCATTGTTGGACATTTGGGTTGGTTCCAAGTCTTTGCTATTGTGAATAGTGCCGCAATAAACATGCGTGTGCATGTGTTTTTATAGCAGCATGATTCCTTAATTTTTTTTTTTTTTTTAGAGACAGGGTCTTGCTATGTTGCCCAGGCTGGTCTCAAATTCCTGGGCTCAAGCCATCCTACTGCCTCAAAAGTGCTGGCATTACAGGCATGATCCACAGTGCTGGGGCAAAACCCATATTTTAATATTGCTTACCAAGACAGACTTATAGCACCTCAGTGAGGCTGGCAGTGCAGTGATGATTAGGTGAACTTACAGAGGGAAAAATGGAGGCCTAGTGGTTAAGTGACTGGCCCAAGGTCACACTACCAGTAAGAGCGATTACTGGGACTAAGCCCAGAGCTTCTCACTTGCAGTCTGGGGCTCCACCCAGCCCACACTTTCTTCCTGTAAGGTCACTGCAGAATTCTCTCATTTGTTTCTTTCTGCAGCTTGTTTTCTTAAGCCACTTATTTCAGGGTTGCTTTTATGAACAGCCTGAGTTAACCTCAATAGCTATGATTTCACTGTCAATAAAACAGCTTTACTTGATGCTCTCTCTCAACCCTCTGAACATATTTTTGTTCAAAATAATGTCCTCAGCAAATGGGGAAAAAAGCAAACTCCACTTCCACCCTGCCCACCACCCACCACCCCTCCATATTCTGACATAAAATAGACACCAGCCACAGTTAACTGTGGCATTTGAGTCCATTTATGACACCATGCAGCTCCCATGGCCAGGCGAGGAGCCTGGCAACCCCAGCCCCAGCGGGCAGGAGCGCTGGTCCCACCATGCCCTGGAGGAAGGGAAGCCCCAGAAAGCTGAATGCCCTGTGCCCGATTTATAAATAGCTCTTCAGAGGCATGGGCTCTCACGGGCGGCCCCTGCCAACTCCCTTCTGGCGGCCTTTAATTTTTCCATGCCAGGCCCACCTTGTACCCGACCCCGCCCCACAAAACAAAGGTCCACCCTGTGTGGGATCCTCAGCCCAGCAGCCCCCCTCCCACCCCAGGGGCACGCCCCACCTTTACTCAGGCCAGAGATGGTTGAAAAGCAGCAAGACCTCGGGAGGGCACAAGAGGGCTGAGGAGGCAAGAAACTTCACTAGGACGCCCCCGCAGCAGGGATTGGGGGGGCCAGCTGCCAGCCCTCTTGGCTGGTCCTGGCCTCCCTTCCTCCCACAGTTCCGTCTCTGCTGTTGTCTCCAACAGGCAGGGTCTGATCTGCCCCCACCCCACACCCAACACTTGTTCTTAAAGGAGGAGGAGGACCATGACGTCTACCAGTAAAAATAATCCCTGTGTGCAACGATATTTACATTCTTCTTCCACTGTACAGTACAACCCTTCCAGCAGCGCTGGGGACAAGCCAGGAGACGGTGACTGTGCTCCCGGGGCCCGACCCTGTGGAGACTCAGCTTTCCTCCCATTCTCTGGCCAGGGAGCTCCACGGTCCATCTGTGGACAGCTCTCTTTGCAGGAAAGCTCTTCTCTATGAGGATGAGCACCACCTCCTCTGGCCCAGGATCGACCCCCACAGGGACTTCTGCCCAGACAAGCCATTTGGACTTTGCCCCCCATCACCATGGCCATCAGCTATCAGGAGAGAACCAGCAGCAGCCCTGGCTCCCACCAACCACGACACATGACTCCGTGGCCCCTTCCCAACATACCTGGGCTCTGAGCTTTGCGTGCGTCCCCCGCCTCTCTCACTGCCTATTTATGTGCAAAGTGAGCTACCTCTTCCCAGGAGTCCTGAGCCAGCTCCCAGCCACATGCAGGCCCTGAGCATGCGCTCTTCCGTGGTTTACCTGTATAGCCCCCCAGCAGTCCCAGGAGGCAGGGGCTACTACTCTTCCCTTTTCACAGCCTAGGCCAGGGAAGCCCTCAGTTAGGCAGTCTGCCTTGAGAGAGGTGAAGCTCCCGGCCTGGTGTCTAGAAAGCAGCAGCAGCAGCACCAACAGGTACTAAAGATGAACCCAGCTGTACATGCTCATAGGCACCTGTCTTCCCTGTTGGGAGGCTGAGGCAGGAATGTGAGACCAGCCTGGGCAAAATAGCTAGACCCCATCTCTAAAAGAAAAAAAAATTAAAAACTTAGCTGAGCATGGTGGCTTATGCCTATAGTCCCAGCTACTGGGGAGGCTGAGATGGGAGGATCACTTGAGCCCAGGAGTTTGAGGCTACAGTGAGCCATGATCATACCACTGCACTCCAGCCTGGGAAACAGAGAGATCCCTTCTCTACCAAAAATAAAAAAAAATTTTAATGACCCCAGAACTCTGAGTTCATAATTGGTTGAGTGCAGACTGGATGCAGCAAGTCACGCCTGTAATCCCAGCACTTTGGGAGGCTGAGGCGGGAGGATTGCCTGAGCTCAGGAGTTCGAAGCCAGCCTGGACAATGTGGTGAAACCCCGTCTCTACAAAAAATACAAAAATTAGCCAGGTGTTGCAGTACACGCCTGTAGTCCCAACTACTCGGAGTGGGGGCTGAGGTGGGAGGATGGCTTGAGCCTGGGAGGCAGAGGTTGCAGTGAGCCAAGATTGCACCAGACTTTGTCTCTAAATAAATAAACAAACAAGTAAATAAATAAATAAATGGGTGAGGCCAACATGAAGAAGAATGAAGGAAGTGTTACTGGAGAGGACTGAAGACTGTTTTGGATTCTAGCTGGGTCAGACGGTTGGGGGCTGGGGGACGCACTCCAGAGACAGGAACCGGAGCGGGCACAGGCACACAGAGGCGTGTCTTGGAACATCTGCTATTTTAACAGGAATGTGGGAAAAGGAAAATCTGGGGCGTTGGGCTGGATGGAGGGCCCTTTAACAAATGCCCACCGAGCTCCCCGCAGGCTCTCTCAGGATCTGGGGAAGGAGGACCAGCCATGTGGCAGTTCCACATGACTCATTCATCCTTTAACCACATTCCCTGTCACACAGCTCAGGGAGGAGGACTACGTGGTGGCAGGCTGGGGAGTGATCTTCCGTCCCACCAGACAGGAGCCCACCCAGGACACTGCAACCCAGACCCTTCCCCTCAGAGGCCAAGCCCCAGCTCAACCAATTCACTTGCTCCTTCTCACTTCAACTCCAATGAATGCCAATAAAATCTCAGCCATGAATGGAACAGATGCCTGCAAACATTTTTATTATTAAAATAATGCCTTCCTTGTATGAACATCTCATAATTGAGGGTCAAATATAAGCAAAAAGCAGACTCAAAGCCAGCCATCCCTGGTTGACTTGTTGACAAAATAATTCACAGACAGTTCCCAGGCCCTCGGCCACAGAGCTGTAAACAAGCTTCCAGTTGCTGAACGAACCATAATAGACCCGAGATAAAACCATTCGTCTTCAAGTCATCTCAGGACCCAGGAGTGCCAATTCAAATGGTCACGCACAAGCACAAAACACCGAGCATGAAACATCACGTTTCTGCTGTATTTGATTTCTGTACATTTTCAATGAAATGTCTGGGCATTTCAGTATGGCTAAGTCAGTCTAGGGGTATTAGGAATCAGCCGGGTAAACCAGTGCCCTGGGAAATGTCCCAAGCCAGCTTAGGCATGATCTGAAAAGTCCCTGCAAGTTTCTCTTGCTTTGTATGTTACTCAGTGATAACAGTAATTCAATTCCATTCCAGAACAACAATATACATTGGGTTTCCATTGCATCTTCAGGATCCTGTTCCGGGATATTCCTGAAGACTGCCGGTATCCAGTATTTTACCCACTTGATCCTGGTGCATGTACAGGAAGACATCTCAGACCACACGCTCTGATTTGAGACGGTAGGCCCTATAGTTAGCATAATTATAGAGTGAGCAAGATAACTATAACTTAACCATGCCCTGAATGAGTATGCAGTCAGTGCCTACAGAAGGCCACGGGAACATGTGTAACTACGATACCAGCAGGAGGCAAGGAGTGACAGGGTCTGGAGCTAACAAATTACTAAAGGAAGGAAATCATTGCAACTCAGAGGAAGGCTCTGTAAAACCAGTGGCATGCCTCTGGTTAGCTTAGAGCATGAGTGAAATTTCAACAAGTCAGTAGGTATTGGGAGGAGGAATACTCTTAGGCCAGGTGCAGTGGCTCATGCCTATAGCCCCAACTATTTGGGAGGCTAAGGTGGGAGGATTGCTTGAGCCCAGGAGTTAGAGGCTACAGTGAGCTGAGATTGCACCACTGCATTCCTGCCTGGGCGACAGAGTGACACCCTGTCTCAAAAAAAGGGATATTCTTGATGGAGGGGGAAAGTGAATGTACGTGGTATGTTTAAAGAGCAGTTAAGTTATGCTCTCTTGTGCCTTGGAGTTGGGTCAAACTCCAAGAAGATGGAACTGCAAAAGCAGACTGGGTTCAAGTTTGCAAGGCCTAGAAGGTCATGACTACCAGAGCCTGGCTACGTTTCTCCTTTCCTCGCGTGACTCAGCTGGACTGCATTCCCCCAGCTTCTCCCACAGTTAAGTCTGACCATGTGACTCAATGCTGGCCAACAGAAGGTAGTAGAAGTGATGTAATGTACACCACTTCCAGGACTGGCCTGAATCCCACCTCCTCAGGCCGTGACTGGGCCTCCATCCAGGGGTTTCTGCCTGGACACACTCTCTCTCTGCTAGTTTGGATGGCAACACCCATGGCAAGCTTGGAGCACACCATGGAGACAACAGAACCTCCACCAACGTCATCCTTGGTTGATTGTGTGCCGGGGAGCACACCACCGCCTCCCACCCAGCCCCACTTCCCAAGGGACTTTTCCTGAGTGAGGAAGTTACAGGATGCTAGGCTGCTGAGATGTCAGGATTCACTTGCATGAACTCTGAAGTCAGCATTTCTCCAACTAAAATACCAGGGTTGGGGTCGCATGTTCTTCCTTAGGCCGTGCTTTGGGAAGGGAAGCCTGGGGGCAGCGTGGAAGCTGGTGTGGACGCAGGAAGAAAGCCACAGCAGGACCCTGTTGAAAGACTACTGAAGGGCAGATAAGAGATGAGAAGTGAGGAAAGACAGTGACTGGGAGAGGAAGGAAAGGAGGAGATATTTTTCATCATCCACTCCCTCTTTCTATTCAACTTTTATATCACTGTTAATTGAAACAGATTTCTCATAGCTCACCAGTGACCTCCTCATCCAGAACCAAGGATCATCTTTCTTATTAGCGGTGCCATCCTGTAGCATTTGACCACTGCCTCCTTTTTTGGAGGCTGTCTTCCCTTTCGCCACCCCCAGTCCTTCTTGTCTCTGAACCTCCGTTCTCTCTCCCTCTTTCTCTTCCACACCACCCCCCGACCCCGCCACACCACACACACTCCTCTCTTCCACCTCAAATGTAAGCTGTCCCAAGGTTCTGGCTTTGCACCTGCTCTTCTCTTTTCTCTATGTGTGGAATCCCCAGGGGGCTTCATTTGCCATCTGCCTTCTCCCTTTCTACTCGCCTTCCCCCTTTCTACTCACCATCTCCAGAACTGCCTCACCAGCCCCAACTTCTCTTCTGAGCTCTAGATCAAAATGTTTGATTTGCCATCTGAACAGCCACACACAGATGGTCTGCAGGCACCTCGAAAGCAGCCTGGCCAAAACAAAATTCATTCCCTTGTCACCCCCTCTCATTACTCCCCACCCACTGAGCAATGCTGCTGTTTCTCCATTTCTAGTTGTCTGAGACGGGAGGTTCAGCCACAAGCTGGTCATGAAGGGCTCTGTGGAACACCTTGCTAACATCAAGGTGTGATATTTCCCTGGAGGGTCTAAGACCTCCACCCTGGATCCCCCACACCTTTCCACAATTGCTCCAACACTCATTCCACTTTTACAGCATGTCACCCCCTTGTCACAATTCCTCCAAAAGTAGAACTTGTCTCCAAATTACATGGAAAGGTGTCCACACTCCACTGGGATGACTCAGCACGGCTCAAATAAGCTTGTTCAAATGTTGGTGGTCTTTTCTTACTGTTTTCTCGTTTATCTTGGATTTCAATTTCCCTTTTAGCCAAGTTTATTTGCTCCTCTCAAATCTGAAGAAGATTCTTGTTCAGGAAGTAATGACCAAAGATAATTTAAGGTGTTTTGATATTTCTTAATCATCAGATGGCACTGTGCCATTTTCTCTGGGTCATGGACCGATTCCTTTTCTCATTCTTCCTGCTCATGACATAGCTTTCCAACCCTTTTCGTTCTCCTTATATTCTTCACAAGATTTAATGCAACCCAAGCTCTACCTGAATTAGTCAGGACTCTTCTGGTTGCAGAAATCCAAGTGGCAGAAATCCAAGCTAAGTTCATGGGAGCAAACCAAGAGAAGGACAGGCAGAAGAGGAGACAGCCACGCAGACCACCAAGCTGGGGACTCAGACCCCATCGGGGTTCACCCACTGTGCTCTGGCCTCAGTTTCTCTTTCTGTGTGGACTTCACCCAGCCAATCCACTTTCTCACTGGGGTGGGTTCATGGGAGCAGCTCTGATTCACATCTTTAGCAGCTCTCCAACCAGAGAGGAAGAGCTTTCCTCCCAGCTCCAATTTCAAAACCGCAGGAAAACACAAGTTAGCTCAGCTTGGCTCACTTTGAGTGTACCCCTCAGAACAGTGACCATGGTCACATCAGTGAAATTATTTACCCATCCTGGGTCACATACCCACTTCTGGTGTCAAAGAAATAGGGTATGCTGCCAGAAAAAAGGAAGAGAGATTGATGAACAGATAACAAATAGGAGATATCTGCTATATTAGCCACCGTTTAAACATACTTCCCTCCACACATGTGCCTTCCTGACCTGTCCTCTCCATATTCAATATTGTGGACAGCTGCCAGTTGCCAGGTGGTATGTAGTGAATGGAGATTGTAGAAATGAGTCTTCTCTGTGCCCCGTGAAGAGAAGACTTCCAGCCCAGGAACACTGCAGGGAGAATGATCTCCAGTGATCCCTTCTGGTTGTAACAGCCTAAGGTTCTGAGAGCCTAATTCTAGGCATGGTGTCGTCTCTTCCTTCTTTCTGCCCTAACCTCCACTTACTCTTACTCTAATACCAGCTTCTCAGCTCAGTCAAACCTGGACCACTTCTCCCGTGCTCTCCCAAATTCCCAGTTATGGCGCCTTTCCTGGAAATATCCTTCTCCAAAGTCTACTCTCCAAAAATACTAAAGTCACTGTGGCTGATCTCAGCCAGGTGCTTGGGAGAAGAAGAAACTGAGCAATTCACACCCTAGCACAAGGGTCCCCAACCCCTGGGCCATAGACCTCTACCTGTCCACCTCCTGTTAGAAGCTGGGCTGCACACTAGGAGGTGAGTGGTGGGAGAGTGAGCATTACCCCCGCCTAAGCTCCACCTCCTATCAGATCAGCAGCAGCATTAGATTTTCAGAGGAGCACAAACCCTACTGTGAACTGTGCATGCCAGGGATCTAGTTTGTGTCCTTCTTATGTGAATCTAACTAATGCCTGATGATCTGGCGTGGAACAGTTTCATCCCGAAACCATCTCCCCCATCATCCCTCCCACCAGTCCTTGGAAAAACTGTCTTCCACAAAACTGATCCCTGGTGCCAAAAAGGATGAGGGCCACTGCCCTGGCATGAATGACAGGTGCCCTCCAAGAGTGCCTTAACCCCACTGAATTTCTAATGGGTAGAAGGTTGTTATGGGCTGGACTATGTAACACCAAAAATTCATATGTTGAAGTCCTCACACCCAGTACCTCAGAGTATAATCATATTTGGAGAGAGAGCCTTTATATAAATTGAAACAAGGTCATTAGAATGGACTCTGATCCAATCTGACTGGTCTCCTTATAGGTAGGGGAAGAGACAGACACACACAGAGGGAAGACCACGTGAGAACACAGGGGAAAGATGCCATCTAAGCCAAGGAGAGAGGTCTCAGAAGAAACCAACCCTGCCTACACCTTGATCTTGAACTTCTAGTCTCCAGAATTATGAAGAAATAAATTAAGCCCCCCAGTCTGTGGTATTTGTTTTGGCAGCCCTAACTAACTGATACTAGTTAGTGAGAAAGTGAACTTTCAGCTGACAGGCCTTGTCAGCACTCCCAATCTCTCCACCCCTAGCCTTCTTCTCTCTTCCCACAGACCTGGAAAAGTAAGGCTCTGTCTCCCCTCATCAGAAAAGCTGCAATTTCCCCTTCCAGCAAATCACTCCACAAGTGGACCAGGGCACCCCACTTACACTTTCAAACACGCTGAGAAGCAGGATATACGTACAAGAAATATTTAGCCTTCCTCTCTTCCTTGGCAGAATCTTTGTAATTTAGAACTGAGATTAACCTAGCCCCCAAAAAGGGGGAAATAAAGTTTAAAAATAAACACTGTCAGGAACTCACCAGGACTCATTCAAAAGTCATGGGTATTCAGTAAACACAAAACATTTTGAGAAGCACGAATAGGATGCAATTCAGAGTCACCCATTAGACCAGAATATCAAGTAGGCGGCTGTTAGCCATTCAGATGCAAAGCCACTCATCTGTACGTAGGGAAATATATGTTTCCAATTTAAAATAAAGTTTGTAAAGCTTGTAATCAGTTTGGTAAGATTTCCCTAGAGGGTCACTAGTAGCTACCAGCACAGAAGTTTCTGGATGTTGAAGGCCTGGAAATTAAATCTTTATACTTGTCCCAGTGATGAGGTAGCCAGATGAGAGCAGAGACCACCAACGCTGGCCACGCAAGGTTGCCCTCGGGCAGGCGAGACTCTTCCCTGGGCTGTTAATTTCACAGAGGGGCAACACCATTGTTGATCTTTCTTTTTCTTTTTAAGGAAAGCATTAATAAGCAATGGAGAGGGCACATGAGTCAGGCTCAAAACAAAACCACAGGGGACAATGAAGAGCTGCATCGGAGCAGGCCCTGTGGACAGGCGTGGGAAGTGAGGTCTAATGCAAAGGGGAGAGAGGCCTTACACAACTTCTCCATTTCACAGAGCGGCAGACTGAGTCCTGGGATGTCAGGCGACTTGGGTTAGCTCACATGAAAAAGACCCAGATGACTGCATTTTCTTGCTACCTTATATTTTCAGTTCTCTGCCACTCTTGCTTTCTGAAACCTTCTTTGTCACCCTTTGACCAAGATGCCCCATGTCCAGTGGCTGCCCTCTGACTGCCTGTGCCTGCCACTCCAGAACCCTTCAGGAGCCTTCCTGCCCATAATCTTCCTTTCTCCTCCGATCTCATGTGTGCTGAGTCACTTGCTCCCCATCAAGCTCTGTCCCTAGACATTGTCACAGCTTCCCAGCTGCCTGCTTTCTGGCCTAACTTGCTCTCTCTTGCTCACAAATCACTCCCAGAAGCTTCTCTCTACTGCATCACCAAGCACCTAAGATCCAAGTCCAACGTTCTACCTGCCTGGTGGACATCTCCACAGCTGTCTCCCTCCACAACTACAGGTGGCATATTACCCTTTCCAAGTGAGCCAATGGAGTGTGACATAAAAGGCAGGACTTTGGAATCCAAAGGTCTGCCTTGGGTCTTGGTTCCATCACTCTCTGGCTGCATGATCTTGGGTGAATCTCATTACTTCGTGAAGTCTCCAGCATTTTGCAAAGGACACGATAACTGTCCTCACTCTGAGTGGAAGAGGCAGCATAGCTGAGTAGTCAGGGATCAGAGCCAGTTCATTTAGATTCTAATTTTGACTCTTGTCTCTTGTTAGCTGTAGAAACTTAGTCAATTTCCTTAACTTCATTGGCTGTCAGTTTTCTTTTTTCTTTTTTCTTTTCGAGACAGAATCTTGCTCTGTCGTCCAGGCTGGAGTGCAGTGGTGCGATCTCGGCTCACTGCAAGCTCCGCCTCCCAGGTTCACGCCATTCTCCCACCTCAGCCTCCCCAGTAGCTGGGACTACAGGCGGCCGCCACCAGGCCTGGCTAATTTTTTTGGTATTTTTAGTAGAGACGGGGTTTCACTGTGTTAGCCAGGATGGTCTCGATCTCCTGACCTCCTGATCCGCCGCCTCGGCCTCCCAGAGTGCTGGGATTGCAGGCATGAGCCACCGCGCCCGGCCCACTGGCTGTCAGTTTTCTTTCTGTAAAATGGGGATAATCACAGAACCCATCTTTGGTTGTTCTGTGTAATGGATTCATAACAGTGCCTGGCACGTAGTAAGCACCTTAGAAATGTTCAGTGTCATTATTTACAAACTATGATGTGCTATGCAAAGGTTGCCCATGAAATTTTACAATATTAGTGTCTCCCCACTGTTTCATATTGTACTGGACAGGTCTCCTCTGGTTGTACATGAGAGAAATCTAACTCCGAACTCCATGATAGAAAGAGGACACTTTGGGGCCTATGCTATTGCAAAGTCCAGATGCAGCTATGGCCCCAGGCTTTATGAAAATCTTGCCTAGAATGAGAAGGGGAGAAAGCTGCAGAGAGAGTCAGGGAACCCACTCATCAGAAATGCAGCTTTGTGCCCATCTCTGTATTAGATAAATGCACCAAACATAGGATTGTTTCCTCCCTAAATTTACATTCAAATGGCTCAATTTCACTATAAGAATATGAAATAGGGCAAGAAGACACGGCATGTGGCATTTTGATCAAATGCAAAGGACATGTGCCATCTGGCGTCTGTGTGCTTTTTATGGACACTCGCGTCCTGCTTCCAGCCCTGTCGGGAGGACTATCAGAGCCTCTCCTCTTACACACACACACACATCCACACATGTACACACCCGCACACAGACGCCCTCACACTGCATGTAGGGAAATCTAGCCTGAGGAATCACATGGTCATTGAGGTGGGAGGAGAGACCTAGGAAGAGAGGAGGGAGGTGATAGAGAGAGAACCACAAGAGTGGCCGTGACAGCCAAGCAGCTGCCCAGAAACCAGAGAAGAGATGCTACACTCCCAGAGACTCTCCTTCTAGATCCCGTGGCAAGTCTATTCATTTCCAGCGCACAAGTGGGATGTCAATTTCAATTTCTCAGAATACTGCATCTTCACCACCCTAATCCACCCATTATTAAACCACCCCAGCCTCATGCATGGTTTGGTTATGGGCTATTAAGGGCTGCCTTGGGTTCCAGAAGGCACACTTCATTTGCTGGTGAATTAATTCTTAGATGTACTGTGTATAACACATTTAAGGCTCTTTCCAAGCAAAGACATTGTGTAACCTTCGATTACTTTTGCCTGTGCAAAATTGTGTATGTCCAGAGTTGAGTCACTCTAAGCACCTCCAAGTGACTGCACTGGCTAGTCCTGACTTAGGAACTGTGGCAAGAGGTGGTGTGCCAATTTTCAGTCCAATTCTCACTCCTCCACTGCCTGGGGGCAAGGTTCTTGGCAGCCTGAGCCCCAGTTTCTTGATCTGTGATATGGGGATGATCATGTCCTCCACCTGGTGTTGTTATGAGAATTCGAGCATGTTTATGAAGTGTCTCCTGCCTATAGATGACACTCATAAAATGAGTCATTGGGCCAGGTGTGGTGGCTCACACCTGTAATCTCAGCATTTTGGGAGGCCAAGGCAGCTGGATCACTTGAGGCCAGGAGTTTGAGACCAGCCTGGCCAACATGGTGAAACACTGTCTCTACTAAAAATACAAAAAAAAAAAAAAATACCTAGGTGTGGTGGCACATGCCTATAATCCTAGCTACTCAGGAGGCTGAGGCATGAGAATCATTTGAACCCGGGAGGTGGAGGTTGCAGTGAGCCGAGATCATGCCACCACACTCCAGCCTGGGCGACAAAGCAAGACCCTGAAAAAAAAAAAAGTGAGTCATTAAAGACTGGATTTGCAAGTTATTTTCTCCAGAAGAGCTTGTACAGGTGATTCTGGCTCTCCAATTTGGCCCATTCCGATGTCTAACTCCACTAAGGCTCCCCGGCCTAGAAGGCCACACTTCTTCCTTTAGAAATAATAACGATCATAATAATAGTTGACATATAGTGTGAGGCAGTGTTAAATGTATTCACCCACTAAATCCTTGCTATAGTTCTCTGATACTATGATTCCCATTTTACAGATGTGGAAACTGAGGCTCTGAGAGGTTAAATCATTTGCCCGTTGTCACACAGCTGGGATGTGGTGAGCCTGCATGCCAACCCAGGCAAGTGGCTCCAGACTCAACACCCCAGAAAGGTGCCACACAATCCCGAGGAGCTTCCAGGCTTTCCGCCGAAGGTGGGTTTGTTCCCTTGTTGAGGGGACTCTGCGCTCAGCCCTGGGAGCATGTTGATGTCCAGCCTGGACGACGGACGCCTTCCTGAGGGGGCCATGCAGACAACCATGCCCAGGCCGCAGCAAGTCTGCTTTGCTCTGCTTCTCATGTTTCTCTCACAATGAAAATATACCTTGACGATGACACCATCACACTCTAAATCAGCTGGGAACTCCTCACCCCCTTGCCAGGGACGAAAAACAGCACAGATATATGACCAGCTGAGCAATCTGGCTTTCCCCACCTCTTCTCCCAAAATTTATTTCTAAGTCAATGACTAATGGCAAAGCTTAAGAATGAGTGACCCTGTTAAGGATGGGAGAGTTACTAAAAGAAGTTACCATTGCAGGAGGCAACGATTTCTGAGGGTGGAATAAAACAAACAAACAAAAAAAAAAGCAGAGTGAGAAAAGGAAAAGAATCCTCCAATTGATTTAAAAAGTGTCTGACTGATGAAAAAGTGGAGAAAAATGAGAAGTATTGAATATTAGTAGAACTCCACATTAAATTCCCTGGGTTTTTGTTTTGTTTTGTTTTACTTCTTCTTCAAGTATTTCCTCGCACCCCAATCTCTTCCTGCAGAGATTTGGTAACTTCAACTTGTGCCAAAGAACATAAAACATTCTCTCTGCCCACCCTTCTTGCATCTGTACCTGTGCTCCAGCTTAGAGTTGTTATATTAAAATGTACCAGTGTGCAGGGCACAGCATCAATCTTGGGAGCTCTGGAGCCGAAGCGATCACGCTCTTTGATGGCCAAGACAAAGTTAGGTGATAGGAAAATAGGATGAGGGTATAAGACCTATATTTTTTGGCAGTGAATTTGAAACTCAGTGCCCAGATTGTACTTTAATAGTCTCAAATTAGCAAAAAGGACTTTTCCCTCTGTCTATAGCAAGTAATTGGCCCAATTCTCCCAGGCATTTTTTTTTAATGCAGAAACCACTTGGTATTCACCCAAGGCAACACAAAAGCATCAGAACTATTTGCCTCTTGCAATTCACATGACTTTCCAGTCCACATGGTGTAAACTAGATATCAGCATATTTTAGCTCTCACAGTGGAAATTCCCCCATCTACCCAATGCCAACGGAAGCTAGTCCTCCCTTAACCCGCTGCAGCACAGAAATGTCCCCTAGAAACCTCAGGGAGAGGAGCTCAGAAGGTCAACCTTTGACCACCAGCCCACTCGTGTGATTTTAATAAGGAAAATATGGGAGCAGGTTTTCTGTCTTGCCTTACTTTGAGATTTGCATGATGGAAAAGCAAGAAAGAAAAGAGAGAAAAAACTGAGCTGAGGAAGAAGGAAAGAGAAAGAAACAAGAAGAAAGAAGAATGGAGAAAAGAATGGTTTATGACTCAGCCATCCCTTCACCTCTTCCCATAGGCTTCCCTGTGCCTCTTCACAGCAGGCTTATGAGGTCAGAAATCCCAGTAGGTAAACCCCGTGTCTCTGCTGGCCAGCAAGGTGGAGTGACCTCTTGCCCACTGGGGCCAGTGCCTATAGGTTCAACAATGCACTACACTGTCTGTCCCAACAATGCACTATAGGAACAGGCATCTGGCCCTTCACACTAGCCCTAGACAACCGTCAGCTTCTCCATGTTCTCCAAGCCCTGATCAACTGTCCCCAGGGCATTAGAAATATCCCAGCAGCCAAAATAAGGGCCCTCCTGAATAGGGCTGGCAGGAGGCCTGGGGCTACCCATGTGTACCCTTTGGTCATGTTCAAATTGTTGCTTGAGGTATTCCATCACCAGTGCTGCCTGACTGGACCCTCTCAAACCCTTTTCTATTTTGCAAGATGAAACAGCAATTTATGCTAGTTCAGCTCCTCCATCTCCAGGATGGAATTAAACACGCAAGGATTTTCAGAAAGGAAATGCCTGCATTAAGGGAAATAAGAAGGGAACCAAGGAAGGCTAGGGGGTCATCAGACCACAGTGCAAGTCTGACCTGGAGGGAAGGACAGAAGGAGGTTAGGTGGAAATGCCCTAAACTACCGTGCTGTCAAAGGGAGCTTTGGCAAAACCACTGGGGAGTCTTTGAGCCCAAGGTAGCTGACAAAGGAATCCCAGCTCTCCTAGACAGGTCATTGGCAGGGAATAGCCCGGGGAGGCATGGTCCCAGGGTAAACTCGGCAAAGGACTTAGTGCCCAATCAGTGATGCTTCCCAGAGGCCAGATGCCAAGGTCTTCAGGGCTCACTCTTGCAGTGGTCACCCCAAGTGACCAAGTCTCCACTGTGGAGGATTTCCTCTTGCACCTGCTCCATCACTTCTGAAAGGTGCTAATGATTGGGCTGTTGTGATGGGATGTGCTGAGGCTCAGTCCCCACCACATAGGTCATGCCTTCACTATAAAGATGCAGGGAAGATGCCAAGACAGTGGGCGGGGGGGGGGGGGGGGTGTCTGTTGTGGAACTAAATAAGTGCTCCTTTGTTCTCTGAAGCCCAGGGTCTAGCTTCCACACACTCTTGGAACATTTCTTGGTTACAGTGATATTCTCAAAAAGAGGGCATACCTATCTACTCCATATCTGGCCTTTGCACAGTGTCAATAGCAGAAGACAAAAACTTCCCAAAGAAGAGAAATGCCCAGCATGGTCCCCATCTCCAAAGGGAAAAAAATCAAAAGATGGTTCAATTTTGGCCACCAATTGTGGTCACTTTGGAATCTATGACCCTTGTCAGAAGAATCTGCCATGTGGCCTCTAGTCAATCCAACAGCTGCAAGGACCCCACAAAGTGATCCCAAGCCAGCCTCCTCCTGTGGGGTACGTGTGAGGCTGGCTTCCATCCTCCCCACCCCACAACCAAGGGCATCACAACAATTCTCCCAGGAAGGAAGATGCAAATTCCAATGTGTCTCTTCCCCATAAACCTGTGGCTCCCGCAGGGCTCAAACAAGAGTCAACTGAAAGAGGCCCCAGGGTGCAGAATTCCAGGAGGCATCATTCTCAGGATGGAGTGAGTGCAGAGTCAGCACTGAGCATGAGAACCATCCTTTGCAGGCCATGGGTCACCTCCCTCCAGTCCACCCAGAGGACCAAAGTCTGCCTACCCTTCAAAGGCTACCCAAGACCTGCGCTCCATCGAGCCTTCCCTGAGGACCCGTCAACTCTCATGTCATTCCTCTGAGATCCTAGGGCCCTTTGTTTACCGCAGATGGATGGCTTTTTCCCATAGTACCCTTGCATTGTCCGTGTTTGTGTGAACACCCATTATCCCTCCCAGTAGACTGCAAACAGCTTCCGGACAGGGGCCATCTTCCCACCTTCACACCCCTTTCCCATCTGCAGCACCGGCAGTACAGTAACTGAGGGGCTCTGTGTGTGGCTTCTTTGCATCTCTGGCAAGCTGCCAACAGTGTCCCCACGGCCACAGATGCTGAATCCCTCTGTACTAATGGCTTGAATTACAAAGAGAAAGATGCTATGGACACACCATGATAAAAGAGTGTTGCAGAGTAGAAGTTATGCATATGGTTTCCTCCCATGCCATCAGGACCAAAGGAATCGCATCTGGCAGTGTTGTCCCCCTCCGTGTCTCCCTCTGGGAAACCATTAGGAGTGTCCGTGGCTATCAAAGGCTTTTCATTGTAAAATACTGTACTTAGGGAGCACTGTCACTTGATTCTCAGCTGTGGCAATTGTTCTGCACAAATTCGGTGGGATAAGGTAGTGTTAAGGTTATTTTTCCCTTGTCTTGAAGGCCATGTAATGTTAGGCAGGGCTGATAAAGATGTCAGAATCAAGAACAAAAAATTCCAGTACATTGGAAGCACTTATGAAGTTTCATGGGAATGACTCTGCATATCCACCAGCACTTCAGAAAAAGCTCGGAAAAGAGCTCTCACAAATTGTGTTGTTTCTGCCCATTATAAAAAGAGGAGCAAAATCTGTCATTCATTGACACATAGGGAGTTGGCTAGTTTTCAGCCTCTGTAGTCACCTCTCTGAAAGTGACGGATGCGGAGGGGGAGGTGGGGGGGGGGGGGGGTTGGAGGAGGAGCCTGAGGCTCCTCTGCTTCCCCTCTGCATCTCCTTGGAGTTCGCATTTGTCCCAAACCATGGGTCTAAAGATTCCTCAGGCATGAGAATCCCACCGGCACTTGTAACAAATGCTGCTTCCATGGTCCCATCTCCGGAGATGCTCTTTCAGTAAGTCTGGGGAGGGATCATGGAATCTGCATTTTTAGCCAGCTTCCCAGGGGATTCTGATGGAGGTGGCACAGGGCCTCACTTTGAGAAGCGCTGCTGTGCCGACCGAAGGTTGAGGGAGCTGCTCGGAGAGAGCCAGAGCATCTGGGCAGGGCAGGAGGCGGCAAGTGAGGCTGAGCTGCTGTCACCTAAAAGGCAGTGGGTACCACCAGGCAGCTTGAAGCAGTTACGTGGGGACACCTTTGCAGCCTCTCAGTCGGCAGCCCCAGGAAAACCCCTCCACCAACACTCACAGCTGGTCACTCTGTATTACGTAGAACACAGGTTCTGGGTTTGAATCTTGACTCCAGCTACTCATCAGCCACCCTGAGGTTACTCAGTCTCTCTGGGCCTTGTTTCAAAGACGGGGTGAAAGACATACCTTATGTTACAGAGTTGCCACAAGGGTAAAATGAGATGATCTGTATAAAATGCTTAGTGCAGGGTCTGAGTACACAGTAAAGGCTCAATTCATGGTAGCTGTTCATCTTTTCTGATGTTACTGTTATCTATTCCAGTTATCTGTTGCTACATAGCAAACTATCCCAAAACTAAGTGCCTTAAAACAACAATGGTGGTGTGGCGCAGTGGCTCACAACTTAGTCCCAGCATTTTGGGAGACTGAGGCAGGAGGACCCTTGAGGTTGAGAGTTTGAGACCAGCCTGGGCAACATAGCAAGACCTCACCTCTACAAGAAATTTAAAAATTATGTGGGCATGGTGACGCATGGCTATAGTCCCAGCTACTCAGGAGACTGAGGCGAGAGGATCACTTAAGCCTAGGAGTTAGAGGCTACAGTGAACTATAATCATACCACTGCACTCCAGCCAGGGGGGCAGAGCAAGGCCCTGTCTCTAAAAATATTCAAAAATAAAAAACAACAATGGCATTTATATTGCTCCCAAATCTGAAATCTGGACAGATCTCAGCAAGAACAGCTCATCCCAACCCCACTGGATATCCGCTGGAGCAGGTGGAAGACTGGGGCTGAAAATACCTGCAAACAGGCTCACTCACCTGGAAGGTGGGGGCGCTGGCCCCAGCAGGGCCTTATCCAGGGCCTTACCTGGAACACCCATACGGGCCTGTCCATGGCAGCTGGAAGCCAGAGAAAGGGGGAGATAGACAGACATGCAGAGACACATGGGAAGTAAGCGGGACACAGACAGCCAGGTGGAAACCATGTCGCCTTGTGTGGCCTAGCTTTCAGAAGTCATGCACCATCACTCTGCCACACGCTGTTATGCAAAGGGAGGCACTAGCACTGGCCCATATTCAAAGGGATGAGATTAGAATTCACCTGTTAAGGGAGAAGTGCCAAAGAGTCTGTGGAAATGCTTTAGAACCACCACATTACCCAACACCCCCAACATGAGCCAGTTCCTCTGATCTTGCTTCCTGGCTTCATGGGGTAATGACAACCCAAATCCTTGACTCCACACAATCGGCTCTATGAAGCTTAATTCAGCCTTCACAGCCTGGTCCGGCAGGCTAGTCCAGGTAGCCCGTAGGTTACCTCCCATGCATGTCATAAGAAAATACACACAGCACAACGTTTGTGCAGAAAATGACCTCAACTGAGTGGGCACGTGGGAAGGGGGAAGACAGGAATGGAGGAGGCACTGGTTCACTGTACTCACTGGGACTGGTGAGGCAGAGTACAAGGCAGTGAGGACAACAGCCATGTCACGCCCTGCGAGGCAGGTTGGACCAGCAGCTGGGGTGGAGAGACCCTGTCTGCAGGCTCCAGGCACTTCCATCTAGAACCCAAGGAAACAAGTTGTTTGGAATCCTCATTCTTGCCAGAGAAAAACAAAGTAAATCTGCTATCAACCAAACCCGACCAACAAGAATCACTAGTTCACTGGCGTTTCCCAGCATCTACATTTTACCTTAGAAAGAGTTCAATCACAGCCAAGGAAGCTAATGTTCGTATTTTATTCTTTCTGGCTTTAAAAATACAACCCCAATTTTTTTGTTGTTTGTTTTTCTTAAAAAGAGGTGGGGTCTCGCTCTGTCACCCAGGCTGGAGTGCCATGGCGCAATCATAGCTTTACTGCCTCACTGCTGCAGCCTTAACCTCTTAGGCTCAAGTGATCCTCTCACCTCAGCCTCCCAAGAAACTGGGCACATGCCACCATGCCCAGCTAATTTTTTTTTAATTTTTTGTAGAGACAGGGTCTCACATGTTGCCCAGGCTAGCCCAATTTCTAATATATCTCCTAGGGCCCATACAAATTGCTAATGAGTTGGTAGATTAATCAAATATGTATTTGTAATTGGGGCATCTTTTGGCCTAATTCTGGAAGCCAATAATGGGGTCCTGTCCCCAAAACGCACAGTGCAAGCCTTCACATGGCCAGTCCTTCCCTCCAAGGCCTCAAGGCTCTGACACCAGTGATATGGTTTGGGCTCTGTGTGGAACTAATCTCATCTTGGATTGTAATCCGAATTGTGATCCCTGCTTGTTGAGGGAGGGACCTGGAGGGAGGTGATAGTATCATGGGGGCGGTTTCTCTCATGCTGTTCTCGTGATAGTGAGTGAGTTCTCACGAGATCTGATGGTTTAAAAGTGTTTGGCACTTCCTCTCTTGCTCTCTCTCTCTCCTGCCACCCTGTGAAGAAGGTGCTTGCTTCTCCTTTGCCTTCTGCCATAATTGTAACTTTCCTGGGGCCTCCCAAGCCATGTGGAACCGTGAATAAATTAAGCTTCTTTCCTTTATAAATTACCCAGTCTCAGGTAGTATCTTTATAGTAGTGTGAAACTGGATTAATACAACCAGGTACTCTTCAGTGCCAAAACATGCTGTGAGTTAGGCCTGGAGAGTCCAGCTGGGCTCACCTATCTCAAGGCACTGTCTACTCTTCACCTTAGCAGACAGAGCCAAAGCTTCATCACCAGCAGGTGACAGACACAGCATGGAGGCATGTGCAGCAGCAGGGAATGTGTGGGGCTCCCAGGTGTGGCCCCAGGAGGCCCCACCCTGGTCGAGGGTAACACATGGCCCACTCAGGCAGATGTTGTTTCTGCAAGTCTGGGAGGGAGCTGATGTGAAAACAGGCCTCTGCTTCCCCTACGTGGGGCCTGAAACTGAGGGGGGTGGTTCTTGGGTTTACTGGGGAAAGGGGGCCTGCTGCTTCATGCTGGTTTCAGACCTTGGCAGGCCTGGAGGTGGACCTCTCCTGTGAATACAGTGCCCCTCAATTAGGAGTGATTTTGCTCCCCAAAAGATATTTGGCAATGGCTGGAGACATTTTTGGTTGCCACAGCTGGGCAGGGGTTGTTCCTGGTATCTAGCAGGTGGCGGCCAGCGATGCTAATGAGCATGCTGCAATGCACAGGACAGTCCCGCCGCAAAAAGGGTCTGGCCTCAAAGGTCGATAGTGCCAAGGTTGAGAACCCTATAATCTCCCCTCTCAAGTACCCAGCAGCCCCCAGAGACGAGAGGAAGCCAGGCCTATCTCCCAGAGCTGGAAACCAATTGTCCTTTTCCTGCCTGGAGACCCCCACTCCAGAGACAAAAAGGCACTCAAAGCCCCTAGCATAATGTGCCTTGCCTAGGCCATTCTTGTAAGGGAGACTCCATTAGCAATTCTTCCCAGGCCAAGGAAAACCTGTGATCTTCTATCCTGCCTATACCTTCAAGCCATTGCCAACTTCTTTCTTGTACAAGAAAAACCAGTCTCGAAGGGTAATTCTGATTAGGGCACTCCTCAGGTAAAGCAGTCACGATGCTCTCGTTGAGCGCCAGCTGCATGCTAAGCACTTAGTGTTGGCACCTCCTAGACACATACCTCCCTGAGCATCTACGGCTCTCATCGGCAGTACAGACCAAGGTCTATGCCATGGCCTCCCAAACCTGGGTAGTTCCACGAACTGTCCAACAAAGTTTCAGTTAGGGTAAGTAGCATCTATTTATGATGATCAAAAAGAGGGCTATCTTTTTAGAAAGGTTTGCACCAAAGAGTTGAAACTTTACTCAAATAGACAGCTCAATCAGTATAGTACATACCATCTACCTACATGGGAAACTTGTGATCCGTAAATTATTTTGTTGTTGTTGTTGTCATTGTTTGAGACGGAGTCTCGCTCTGTCGCCCAGGCTGGAGTGCAATGGTGTGATCTTGGCTCACTGCAACCTCCACCTCCCAGGTTCAAGCAATACTCCTGGCTCAGCCTCCGGAGTAGCTGGGATTACAGGCGCACACCACCACACCTGGAAAATTTTTTGTATTTTTAGTAGAGACAGGGTTTTACTATGTTGTCCTGGCTGGTCTTGAACTCCTGACCTCAGATGATCCACCTGCCTCAGCCTCCCAAAGTGCTGGGATTACAGGCGTGAGCCACGGCACCTGGCTATCTTTAAGCCCTTAATTATGAGCGCTGTGCGGAAGAGTACACAACCTTTAGGATCTTGGCTGACACTTCCTCCATGTAAACCCCTTAATACCCACTGCAGCACTAAGTTCTATAAGGCAACTAAAACAGGCAGTTTATAAACCCAACACCAGGCAGAACCCATAAATAATAATGATGGTTTATAAAAGCCATTTCATTGAGGACTTTTTAAGCTTATTAAGCAGAGACTAGTATGAAGAATCCCCCTGCCTCCATCATTCAGTTTCAACAACCATCAACTTTCTGCCTTACTTATTGACCCCCCTCCACAGAGATACACACACAATTTCTTCTGGAGCTTAAAGGAGATCTCAGCCATCACATCATTTCAGCTGTAAGTACTTTAATATGTATCTCTAACAGATGGGGCTTTTTAAAAATAGCCATAACAGCCGGGTGCAGTGGCCTGCACCTGAAATCTCAGCGTTTTGGGAGGCCAAGGTGGGCAGATCACTTGAGGTCAGGAGTTTGAGACCAGCCTGGCCGACATGGTGAAACCCCATCTCTACTAAACATACAAAAATTAGCCGGGCGTGGTGGTGCACGCCTGTAATCCCAGCTACTTGGGAGGCTGAGGCATGAGAACTGCTTGAACCCCGGAGGCAGAGGTTGCAGTGAGGCGAGATCGTGCCACTGCCCTCCAGCCTGGGCAACAGAGCAAGGCCCTGTCTCAAAAACAAACAAAAAAATAGCCATAACACCACTGACCCACCCAACAAAACTAACATCTAATATACAGTCCATCCGTCCATCTTACATTGTCCTCGGCTCTCTCAAAAAATGTCTTTTTCCAGTTGGCAGCTGATACTCAAAGGAGTGCTGACCTCACAGAGAATCACAGTACAGAAACAAAGGTTTGTTGTCTTTGGCCTTCTCAGGGGCAATGGCCCTTCCTGCCTACCTCCACCCTACCTGCCATTCTCTAGGCAGAACCAGGGGTTGGGGGGACATAGTCAGAGCATTGATGGAGCAGGTGTCTTAAGCGTGGTCCTGATATCAACTTCTCCTCCAGATCAGCTCCTCATCAGAAAAGCCACCCTTTCTCAGGCCACTTTCCAGGTAGGCCCAAGAGATCAGGAAACATACCTGGCCGGAAGAGCCAGCAAGGCTCACTGCAGACCCTTGGCAACCCTATGGGGGCCACGAGGTTCAAGGATTTTGTGACATACTTAGAATGCAGTCCCTGAAGAGCTTGGGCTCTCAAGGGTGAGGGGGAAAGACACACCTAGTAATTTATAGGTTCAAATGAATACTCCCCTGTTCTGAAAAGCTTAGCAGGCTCTGCATGAGCAAATTAATTCATGCATCTGTCATGGAGAAGTTAGGGGCAGCCACCCAAGATTCTGGGACTTTAGGTAACAAGCCAGGGCAACATGGAACAAGCCTGTCAGACTTCCCTCCTAGAGCTCTGCATGCTACAGACTAGGATCAGTGCTCAAGCTACAGGTTCTAATAGAAATAGCACTATGTGTTAATTATAAGTTTAAAAAAGGAGAGAAGAAATAACTTTGTTTAAACCTGATCTTCTCTGCTGATAAAAATGTTTTTAACACCTTTAGTAACCCTAGTTTCCAGCAGGTATAAAAAGTTAACTCATCTGCTTATAGATATTTTAGGGGTTCCTCCCCATCTTATAAAATAAGTTCTTGAGTCCAGGGGAATGGATTCTGAAGGCAGTATTGTGGGAGATTAAAATCAAAAGCTCAAAACTTACACTCTTCAGAGCTGTTTGACCTTGGGCAAACTAATTAGTTTCTTTGCTGTTGTTTTCCCACCTACGAACTGAGGATGAGACTATCTCCATTGCAGAGTTGTTACAAAGGTGTAACAAGATAACATATTCTCATTCAACACACATTTATTGAGTGCAGGCACCGTCCTAGGTGTCAAAGATAGAGGCCGTGAGCAAGTCAGACAAGGCTTTGGCTCTCTCAGAGCTTTTGTTCTGATCAGGAAGACACACATGAAGAGGAACAGAAATATCCAGTAGGAATAAATTCTATTCTGAGAATTTTTTAAAACACTGTGCAATGCAGAGGATGTAAGTGACTCTAGGGAGGCCTTTTCAAGGATGTGGTAACCAGCCGGAATGATAAGGAGCCAGCCACACAAAGGTCTGGGGAAATGCACTTTAGGCAGAGGGAACAGCAAACACCAAGCATCAAGGATGGATGGAAGTTTGTTGTGTTTGAGTGGCAGAAAATGTAGAAACGTACAAAATGCCATCTGTGAGTGATATGGTTTGGATCTGTGTTCCCCGCCCAAATCTCATGTTAAATTGTAATCCCCAGTGTTGGAGGAGGGGCCTGATGGGAGGTGATTAGATCATGGGGATGGATCTCTCCCTTGGTGCTGCTGTTCTCATGATAGTGAGATGTGGTTGTTTACGAGCGTGGGGTCCCTCCCTCTCTCCCCCACGCATGCTCCTGTTCCTGCCATGTGAGATGCCTTGCTCCTCCTTCACTTTCTGCCATGAATGTAAGTCCCCTGAGGGCTCCCCAGAAGCTGATGCCACCGTGCTTCCTGTACAGCCTGCGGAACCCTGAGTCAATTCAACCTCTTTTCTTTATAAATTACTCAGTCTCAGGTATTTCTTTATGGAAGTATGACAAAGGACTAATACAGTGAGGTAGGCAGTGTCTAAGCATGAGTTTCATGGGGCTTCAGAAGGGGTTTGGATTCACTCTAGTGGTAATCTGAGGCCTTTAGATTAACATTTCAGAATCACTGGCCACTCTACTTTTCAGAGAAATGATTGGAGGGGATAAAAGGAAAAGCAGTAGGACCAGTTAGGAGACTTTCGGAGTAGCCCCACTAAGAGAGGACAACGGTATAGAGTAGGACTCGAGTGGTACAAATGGGGAGAAGGGTCAGGTTTGGAATACATTTTCAAAACAAATCTCCCAGGACTTGCTCCATACATTTTGTAAGGAGCAAAAGGAAGAAAAGCATGAAGAATGATTGTTTGAGGCCCAGAGAGTGGGTAGATGATGGTGCCATTTACTGAGACAGAAAAGACAGGAGAAGCAGCCATGAGGAGACAGAGAAACAAGAGTTCTGTGTTGGCCACACAAGCCTGAGATGCCTGATACACCTCTAAGTGATGTCAAGCAGGCAGATGGATTTAGGACTCTGGAGATCCAGGGGGAAATTAGGCTATCAGAAGTCTTCAATAGAAAGATGGTCATGAAAGCTGAGAGTGCAGGTAGGATCACACAGGGAGAAAATGGGGAAAAGAGAAGGGGATCTAGAGTTGGGTTTTGGAATATTCCAACATTGAGAGGACAGACATTGAGGGGGGATACTGACCAGGAGCAGCTGGTGAGGTAGCAGGACAACCAGAAGCATGGGATGCCATGAAATGGCATGGAATGGGATGGAATGGCATGGAATGGGATGGGATGGCATGGAATGGGATGGGATGGCATGGAATGGGATGGGATGAGATGAAATAGAATGGAATGGAATGGAATGAAATGAAAGCTCCAAAAAAATGCTTCCAAAAGGAAGGAGTGGTCAGTCATGCCAAATGTCACTGCAAGACTCAATAAAGAGGCTAGCAGATGGACCATGGGACTTGGCAGGGTGGAGGTCTTCATTGTGAAGACAGTTTCAGCTGAAAGCCTGACTGAAGAAGACTCAGGAGAGAAGGAAATGTGGAAAAGCAAACAGACAGCAAGACACCCTCTCTCTGGGAGGGAGAGCAGAGAAATCAAGTGGTATCTAGATAGGCACAGAGATCAAAGAAGAGCCAACGGCATGTCAGCATGCCCTCCGGAGGAATGGAGCAGAGAGGAAGAAACTGATGATGCTGGACAAAAGGCAATTTTTGTAAAAGCTATCATTGCGTTAATAATTTGTGTATAGGTGCGTGTATTTATAATTTTTTCTTTCACTTAGGGATTCTTCAGCTTAGAGAGTCTTTATTTCTGTTGTACTAATATACAGTTACACTTTTTAATAGAAAGAATATCTAATCCTCCATTTGTGAGAAAGTGCCCCAAAGGATGGGCTTAAATGGGTATATGAGATCCTCAGCTGTGCAAATTCTCACAGTCTTAAAATTATTCATTTCTAGTGTTCTCTGTGTATACCAGGTAACACATGGTCACTCCTGCTTATAACCTCAGCTTCTGGCAAGCTGAATTCCTCACAATTCCCCAAAGGCCACATGGTTTCAGGCAGCTGTACCTTGCACCCTCACACAGGCACCTCACAGCAGCAGGGGTGCCTGACTGCTCTGGCTCTCTGATGCGTCTTACCTAAGGAACACCCTCTGGTCACTCTTGGAATCCTCCCTAACCTCTGTAGATTGCTTCTTGCTGTTTTCTTTTCCTAAAGGTACTGTGGAACCCCAGAGAGCGTTATGAACCAAGGATTACAACTAAACCAATTCTGTGAAACTGAGGTCTGTTAAAAACAAAACAATCATGCTAAAAAAAAAAAGTGTATGCTTGCCAAAAATATAAGCAATACAGAAAGGAATAAAGCAGAGATCAAAATTCAACTGAGACCACACCCCCAGAAACAACCATCATTAACATTTTGCACAATGTCCTCCAGAACGCTCTATAATCCTGCATGAAAGAGACCCATCCTAGGACAGAAGAATCACTCCTAGACTAACGTGTCATTGGCTTCCTACAGTGACTACTGCAGGGGGCTTGCCTTGTTTTTTGTATCCCCAGTGTTTAGCACAAACACAGACACTGCAGAGGACCCAAACATGTTGGTCAAATTAACAAATAAGAGCATATGTGGCTGCAGAGCTTAGCAACAGCAAGAATAATGCAGTTCCCTAACATCACTTACAGAGCAAGAAGCAGAGACCCAGAAAGAAAGATGCACTCACCTAGCATTAAGGGAGAGGGTGAAGCACTGGAAGGCTTATGGTCTTTGCTCCAAAACAGATCCAAATAAAGTTGCATTTCAAATCAATGTAGAAAATATATTTTTAATAAATGCCTATGATTCTAGCACTTTGGGAGGCCAAGGTGGGAGGATCATTTTAGCCCATCAACCCGTCACCTACATTAGGTATTTCTCCTAATGCTATCCCTCCCCTAGCCCCCCACCCCCCAACAGGCCCCGGTGTGTGATGTTCCCCTCCCTGTAATGTGATTTTTAACAAAGAGAATGGGTGGACAGAAAAATACTTTCCTTTCTTTTGAGACAGAATCTCACTCTGTTGCCAGGCTAGAGTGCAGTGGCACGGTCTCAGCTCACTGCAACCTCTGCCTCCCAGGTTCAGGCAATTCTCCTGAGTCAGCCTCCCAGGCAGCTGGGATTACAGGTGTGCACCACCACGCCCGGCTAATTTTTGTATTTTTAATAGAGACGGGGTTTCACCATGTTGGCCAGGCTGGTCTTGAACTCCTTACCTCAAGTGATCCACCAGCCTTGGCCTCCCAAAGTGCTGAGATTACAGGTGTGAGCCACTATGCCCAGCCAAAAAAACATTTTGAAAGCTGGAAAATGAAGGCGAAGTAACTAACTTAAGCAAACCTGAACCAACCATAGGTAAAGCTGAGACACAACCTGAATCACATCCTGAACTTCAAAGGCTCAGGAGGCAGCAACACCCAGCTCCTTTGGAAGCAGAGAAAAAGATGGGGCAGAAAACAGAAGGTTTGACTGAAAAGTCTGTTTGAGAAGCAGTTAACTCCACCAGCTTTCTTTCCCAGCTCCACAAAGGGCAGGAGCCTGGAGGGTTTTTTCCCTCTGGAGAGGTAAAATCAAGCCTCTCTGGGCTGGGGAACACCAGGCAGAGATAAGGGCAGGAGTACTGTATGGAAGAAAGGGACGAAGTCAAAGCTGCATGCTGAGCATCTGATTCCCAGCCTTCCTTCCCATCGTGACGCTCAGAAGGCAGACAGCCAAGCTTAAATCCTCCAGGCAGAAGATTCAAAAACTCTTCTCTTGGGAATCCAACAAGTTCATGAGAAAGTCATCATCAGAGGGTTTCTTAACAAAACTGTCAAGCTGGGCCAGACATAGTGGCTCACACCTGTAATCTCCATGTACTGAGAGGTCAAGGCAAGAGGATCACTTGAGGCCAGAAGTTCACAACCAGCCAGGGCAACATAGTGAGACCCCATCCCTACAAAAAATGTTTAAATCAGCCAGGTGTAGTAGTGCACACCTGTAGTCCTAGCTACTTGGGATGCTAAAGTGGGAGGATCATTTGAGTCCAGGAGTTCGAGGTAGCCATGAGCCATGATCATGCCACTGCACTTCAGCCTGGGCAACATATCAAGACCATGTTTCTTAAAAAAACAAACAAACAGGCTGGGCGCCATGGCTCACGCCTGTAATCCCAGCACTTTGGGAGGCCAAGGGGCCGGGCGGGGGAGGCGTGGATCATGAGGTCAGGAGTTCGAGACCAGCCTGGCCAAGATGGTGAAACCCCATCTCTACAAAAAATACAAAAATTAGCTGGGCATGGTGGCGGGCACCTGTAATCCCAGCTACTCGGGAGACTGAGGCAGGAGAATCATTTGAACCTGGGAGATGGAGGTTGCAGTGGGCCGAGATCATGCCATTGCACTCCAGCCTGAGTGACAGTGTGAGACTATGTCTCAAAAAACAAAAAAATGAAAAAAAAAAAGAACAGCCGAGCTGAATCATCTTACAATTAATTCCACTGTCAGTAAAGCCCTCCACTCACCTACTACCACCAGCACCATGCAGAGCAGACTATAAACAGATTTTTGGTGCACCACTCTTAAACTATAAACAGTATAGGCAAGAATCCCAAGATAACTTGAGAAGCATTTACCCTGTTTCATTGATCCTAAGATGCATGTGTCCGAATGAACATCTCTGAAATCCGCCTTACAAATCAATAGTATTGCAAAATCATGGTCAGTCAGGAGGCAGCCGTGATACGGCCATGCAAAATAATTTCGTGGACACTTTCTCGTAAGATTAAGAGCACCAGCATCGAAGGTTCTCAAAGTCGATAAAATACGGTAATCTGAAAGCCAGAGACCAAAGCAAAGTGGAAAAAGGAGGTAAAAACAGAGAAAATAGCCCCCAAACCCTTATTAATATCCTGAGAGAGATAACGGAATACAATATACTCATTTTTAAAAAATATGAAAGAACATTTAAATAATCCTTGGAATTTAAAATAAGGCAGCTTGCAATAGAAGACTAGGTTGGGAAAATTTCCCAGAGAGAAGGGTAAACAGAAAAAGAGATAGAAAATAGACAAGAAAAAAATAAGAAAATTAGAGAACTGTCCAGGAGTTTCAAAAAGAGAAAATAAAGAAACCATCAGCAAAATTATTCAAGAAAAATCTCTCAGAATTGAAAGACATAAGTTTCTAGATTAAAAGGAGCCCACCAAGTCCCAGAAGACAAAATAAACCCACAACAAAGTGCATCATTGTGACATATAGGAACACTAGGGACAGAGAAAGAGTCTACAAACTTCGAGAGAGAGAGAGAGAACAACGCAGGTCTTAAGTAACAAGGCAGAATATAACAGAGCAGAACTTCCAAATTCCAAATTCCAAATTTTAAAACCTAGAATTGAATACTCAGCCAAACTATCAATGAAATGAGATGACACGATAAAGGCCTTTTCAGACCTGCAGGGAAAGAAGTGAAGAAATCACCCAGATAATGGGTGGAGGCAGAACGCAAGATGGCAGATGAGTCACTGCTGTGTGAGCAACCCGTGCAGTTTGGAGCAGATCAGAAGATCCAGAAGAGATTTCTTCAAGAAAATGAAATTAAACATATTGAGAGGTATGCCCAATTGAAAGAGCTGGCATTGAATTAGTTACAAGTATACAGAAAAATAAGCAAATAGAACTGGAAGACAATTATTAACTCTATGGAAAATAAAAAAGTGCAAGAGGAAGGAAACGTAATGATTGTGTACCGCGTGACTCAGCAAGCATAGTCACAATAAACACTGAAAAATGAGCCAGCCAAAATTAGAACTTAACTGGATAAAGAGAATGGAGAAGACTTAAATTGTGTTCTGAGAGACAGGCGGGTAAAAGACGGTGAAATCTTTGTATTCCAGCAAATACTTACTACCCACATTTTTTCTTCAAGAAACATGCTAGCATTTTACATATTTACCAATTTACATATTTTACAAATACGGAAATGAACATGAAAACACTCAGGTGAAAGTTACAAGGAGGTGCTTCTGGAAAGTGGGACAGGGAACTGCTGCAATGTTTGACAATCAGCCATGTTGAGTGATCTTAATATTTGCACTCTATACATACGTGGCTTTAACAAAAGTAAAAGTTAAAGTAGAAAAAAAGGAAAGAAGAATGAATGAGCATGGGCTTTGAAATCATGCGTAGGTTTGACCACCAAGTATAGTTGGCCCTCTGTATCCATGGATTCCACGTCTGTGGATTCAACCAACCGATTTCGATAATCTGATTTCAGATTATTTCCGATTGAAAATAGCTGGAAAAACGTGTCTGTACTGAACATCCCACTTTGAGAGGCTGAGGTGGGTGGATCACTTGAGGTCATGAGTTTGAGACCAGTCTGGTCAACATGGGGAAACCCCCATTTCTAGTGAAAAAAAAAAAAAATTAGCCGGACGTGGTAGAACACACCTGTAGTCCCAGCTACTCGAGAGGCTGAGGCAGGAGAATCTCTTGAACCTAGGAGGCAGAGGTTGCAGTGAGCCGAGATGGCACCGCCTGGGCAACAGTAAGTGAGACTCCACCTCAAAAAAAAAAAAAGAAAAAAAAAGTTATGCTCTCTGGTAGATAATCAGAAATAACATGAAAGTAAATAGAAATGTTTTAAACCATTTCTTCCTCATGTAAGATATTTTCTGATGGAGTCATAAGAAAAGGAGGAAATGTACAGAAAACAGGAGGGCTTTGGAAGAAATTAGGGGGGTTCTACAAAGTGTTTGGGGCTGGGAGCAACTATTCAAGGAATTTCCATTTCCAAGCTACCAACGGTGTATTGGTCCATTCTCACATTACTATAAAGAACTACCTGAGACCAGGCGCAGTGGCTCACGCCCATATTCCCAGCACTTTGGGAGGCCAAGGTGGGTGTATCAACTAAGGTCAGGAGTTCGAGACCAGCCTGGCCAACATGGTGAAACCCTGTGTCTACTAAAAATACAAAAATTAGCCAGGCATGGTGGTGCATGTCTGTAGTCCCACCTATTCAGGAGGCTGAGGCAGGAGAATTGCTTGAACCCAGAGGCGGAGGTTGCAGTGAGCAGAGATCGTGCCACTGCACTCCAACCTGGGCGACAGGGCGATACTCCGTCTCAAAAAAAAAAAAAAAAAAAAAAAAAAGAACTACCTGAGACTGGGTATTTTTTTAATTTATTTTTATTTTTTGAGACAGCGTCTTGCTCTATTGCCCAGGCTGGAGTGCAGTGGCACAATCTCAGCTCACTGCAACCTCTGCCTCCTAGGCTCAAGGCATTATTCTCCCACCTCAGTCTCTCACGTAGCTGGGACTACAGGCACCTGCCACCACACCGGGCTAATTTTTGTATTTTTAGTACAGAGGAGGTTTCACCATGTTGGCCAGGCTGGTCTAGAACTCCTGAGCTCAAGCAATCCACCTGCCTCAGCCTCCCAAAGTGTTGGGATTACAGGCATGAGCCACCATGCCTGGCCAAGACTGAGTAATTTATAAAGAAAAGAGATTTAATTGGCTCACCATTCCACAGGCTCTACAGGAAGCCTGGCTGGGGAGGCCTCAGGCAACAATCATGGTGGGAGGTGAAGGGGAAGCTGGCACGTCTTACTTGGCAGGAGCAGGAGGACCACCAAGAGAAAGGGGAGGTGCTACATACTTTTAAACAACCAGATCTCGTGAGAACTCACTCACCATCACGAGAACAGCAAGGGGAAAGTCGGCGCCCGTGATCCAATCACCTCCCATCAAGCCCCTCCACCAACAATGGGGATTACAATTCCACATGAGATTTGGGCACAGACACAGACCCAAACCATATCCAATGGAAAGTGACAAATACACCACTGCAGTAACTTACTGTGCAGTTACTATGTCGAAAACCTGGGTGAACGCCTCCCACCATCTGAGGTTCTCTTCAGCCCTCCCCCGAGGCTATCAAGTCACCAGCAACCTTCACCTGCCAAGCAGGGTGCCCACCGCTCTGTCCTAGCCTTCTGTGACCTTTCAGCAGCACTGACGTACTGAACGACTCTCTCCATGAACACTTTCTGTCCTGCCTTTCTGACACCATGCTCTGCTGGTGATGCTCCCTTACCATTTCCCCAGGATACCCAGCCACCCTACCCTTCTCTGAGCTTAGCTAGTTGCAGCAGAGTCCTCATGATCCTCCCTCCGCTATTTTTGCCTGTCTCGGGTCATTCTCCACTCAGCAGCTAGAGTGGATCATTAGAAACGTAGGTCAGATCAGACCATCCCTCCCCTTTTTTCACTCTTTTTTATTTGTATAAATGTATAGGGTACAGGTGTAATTTTGCCATATGCATAGATGGTGTAGTGGTGAAGCCAGGGTTTTTAGGGTATCCATCACCCGAATAATGTACCTTGTACACATTAAATAATCTCTCATCATTCACCTCCCTCCCACCCCCTCGCCCTTCCAAGTGTCCATGGTCATCATTCCACACTCTATGTCCACATCTACCCATTATTTAGCTCTCACTTGTAAGTGAATACATGTGGTATTTGTCTGTGTCTGACTTGTTTCACTTAAGAAAATGGCCTCCAGTTTCATCTGCGTTGCAGCGAAACACATGATTTCATTCTTTTTTATGGCTGAATAGTATTCCATTGCATCACATCCCTCTTAATATGCTCCTATGGCTTCCTACTGCACTTAAATCAAAGGCAAGTTCCTTACCCCAGAGCCTACCTAGAGGTGCACCTTATCTGACCCTTTCTCCTCTCCAGACACCCCCTGGCTGTGGTCACCTTGCTGGCTGCCCCTTGTCTTCCAGCTGTCAGCTCACACACCCCATTCTGAAAGAGGGCTCCCCATCACTCACTCTCACACCACCCTGCTTATTTCCTTCATGGTACTTACTACAAATTGGAATTCCTGTGTGTCCATTTACATACATGGTAATTGTGACTTCTGCCCTATGATGCAAGCTCCATGAGGGTAGAAACTCTGTCTTGCTCAGGGTCTGGCTCAGAATTAGAACTAAATGAATATTATTTATAACCAATCAATTAGTAATTAATTAGTAGAAAAAATAGACCAAGAGAGACCGAATAAAATAAACAAAAACAAAAGACCCTAGAGGAAATGGATAATGCAGACAATAGAAAAGAGCTTCAAAACTTTCTAAACTATCTCTCAGAGACTTTATAGTTTATTCATTAAAAAAGAAAAGAAATACAAGCTGCTCACCAAAAAGAGTAGGTAACAAAATAATTCTTGAATTTTTAAAATACAATTGACAAAATCAAAAATTCAATAAAAGAGCTAGAAGCAAAACACTGATCTTTCGGATTATAAATTTAAAATGCAAAGATTTAGAAAAAAATCACTTAAAAAGTTGAGACTTAAAAAGATCAATTCAAAAATCCTAATATCCACCTAATACATGTTCAAGTAAAAGAGGACAACAGGCAAGAAGAAAATTATTACATTTTTCCAGAACAAAAGAAAGATGTGAGTCTCCAGGCATCACTAAGTCATGAAAAGGATAAGTTAAAATGCACACACATGGCCAGGCATGGTGGCTCATGCCTGTAATCCCAGCACTTTGGGAGGCCAAGGTGGGTGCATCATGAGGTCAGGAGTTCAAGACCAGCCTGGCCAAGATGGTGAAACCCCGTCTCTACTAAAAATACAAAAATTAGCCAGGTGCAGTGGCAGGCACCTGTAATCCCAGCTACTCAGGAGGCTGAGGCAGGAGACTCACTTGATCCCTGGGGGCGAAGGTTGCAGTGAGCCAAGATCGTGCCACTGCACTCCAGCCTGGGTGACAGAGTGAGACTCCGTCTTGGGGGAAAAAAAAAAAAAGCACACACATACACAACCCTAGAGCTATCATCATAAAATTTTAGAATGCCAAATATGAAGTTTCCAGACAGAATAAGTTGCCTACAAAGGAACCAGAATCATATTGGCATTAGATTTTTAATCAGCAATCTTCAATGCCATAGGACAATAAAGTATTACCTTTAAGTTTTGACGAAATAACATAAAAGGTTATAGCTTCCTGAGCTATCAATCAAGAATAAAAATAAAACCTAGATATTAATGGATAAGCAAAGACTCTGATATTTATCAAATAGTGATCTTCTCTGAGAGCACTACTCAAGTATGCACCCCAGCCAAACAACAAAGGAGTGCAAGAAAGTGACAGACACAGTAGTGTTAACCCAGGAGAGCGTGAAAAGATACTCTAGGGTGATCGCTGTGCAACAGCTAGATCCAAATTAGAACCTAGAAAAATAAGAAAATTCAGAAGCTCTAAACTAAGTGTATTCATAAAGAAAATTGATTCCCTGCAAGAAACTTTAACACTTAAAAGTGGATAATTTTAGTTATAAGATGGATGCATAAAATAATAAAAGTAAGCCAGGCATGTATCTGTAGTCCCAGCTACTCAGGAGGCAGAGATGGGAAGATCGCTTGAGCCCAGGAGTTCAATTTAGCCTGTAAAAAAAAATAATAATAAAGGTAAATAGTTAAAATATGCTGTCCCTCTTCCTGTCTCCTAAAAATCACTCTCTTAAGTACCTGGGTTTATAAGCATAGGATCTCATTTCCTTCTCTAGTTACACAATCACATTACGTGGTTCTTCATTGAACAAATATTTATATAATCTTATTATAAACTACAGATATTGGCTTTCAGTTTTTAGAATCAACCTCTAGGCAAAGCATAAAGGACACATATGGTTATAGAACACAATATGTGTTGTAAACCTAGACGGTGAAATGATGACAGCAGCCAAGAGACAGATGGAGCTGGAACAGTGAAGGGAAATGCAGGGGAACCAATTTTCTCATTTTACAGAGTGAAAATTCAAGGGAAACTCTAACCAATAGGTCAGGATGTAAAAGTCCAAAAATACTACTTAAAGCTACAGTGGTAGCCAAGAGAGGAACTAAAAATAAAATGTGTCAAGCAGAAACTAAAGTGGAAGAAAAGAAAGAAACATAAATTAATCATTGTTGTAATGGGGAGACAATAGATACTGTCAAAAAATTATAAATCAAGGAACAGAGGTAAAATCACATCATTGCAAGCACGGCAGTAACTACCAGAAGAACCAAAAAGAGGAAGTTTAAAAACTTGTATCTCTAAGGAGAAAAACAGGCTGAGGTGGCTGAAGAAAAAGGAAGGCTTGGACTTTTTTTTTTTTTTTTTTTTGGCGTCTCTGTCACCCAGTCTGGAGTGCAGTGGCACAATCTCAGCTCACTGCAAACTCTGCCTCCCAGGTTCAAGCAATTCTCCTGCCTCAGTCTCCCAAGTAGCTGGGATTATAGGCATCTGCCCACGCCCAGCTAATTTCTGTATTTTTCTTTTTTCTTTTTTTTTTGAGATGGAGTCTCACTTTGTCTCCTAGGCTGGAGTGCAGTGGCGTGATCTCAGCTCACTGTAAACTCCACCTCCCGGGTTCATGCCATTCTCCTGCCTCAGCATCCAGAGTAGCTGGGACTACAGGCGCCCACCACCACGCCCGGCTAATTTTTGGTATTTTTAGTAGAGACGAGGTTTCACCGTGTTAGCCAGGATGGTCTCGATCTCCTGACCTCATGATCCGCCCGACTCAGCCTCCCAAAGTGCTGGGATTACAGGCGTGAGCCACCACACCTGACCAATTTTTGTATTTTTAGTAAAGACGAGGTTTCACCATGTTGGCCAGGCTGGTTTCAAACTCCTGACCTCAAGTGATCTGCTTGCCTCAGCTTCTAAAGTGCTGAGATTACAGGTGTGAGCCACTATACCTGGCCCCAGACTTTTCAGTTATGTCTTTCATACCATTTTAAATATCTCTGTACCATTACCATGAGAAGGTATTTTTTAATAAGTTAAAACATATTTGCAAAATTAATGTGCAATTTAAAATTAAGATAATAATTCTCTAGATATAAGTTAAATACCTTCAAGGACTGAAGTTCATCATTGACCAGATGACCTGTAAGAAATCCAGATCTAACATTCTAAACTACCTGGAAAGTTACCTGGAAAGTCTACGAATTTAACTTCACAAACTGCCAACATCATCTCTTCTGGAAGTACATTGTCAGAGCTCCTGACCCCAACCTTATAAGCAGAGGTTGTCTCCAGGAACATTTCTGCTCCCTGCTCTGATTTAAAATACCAGGGAGAGAATCTGTTTTGAAAACAATCCACAAGACAATATTTTCCCTAAGGTCAGCTTTAGGAGAGGTGGTTCTCTTTCTTAGAGGATTTATACTGCACTTTCACATACCGTAAAGTATTCCATTTGGTGCTCACAGTACACAACTCTGAAAGGCGGAGACAGTGTGTACTACTACATCCATTTAACTTAGGAGGAAACTGAGTCCCAAATATGTAAGTTACCAGCCCAAAAATTCTTAGCACTAAATAATAAAGATCAGAGCTCAAACATGTCTCTGATCCCAAGTACTGATCTCTCCATTAACCTGGTTGCCTCTAGCATCTTCAAAAGCCCAATAATCCAAAGACATACAAATAAGCAACAGGTACATGAAAAGGTGCTTGACATCACTAATCATCAGGGAAATGCAAATCAAAACTGCAATAAGATATCACTTCAATTCTGTTAGGACATTATCAAAAAGACAAGCAATAAGAAGTGTTGGTGAAGATGCAGAGAAAGGGAACCCTGGTACCTTTTGGTGGGAAGGTAAATTGATAAAGCCATTATGGAAAACAGTATGGAGGTTGCTTTAAAAAATTAAAAAGGGAGGCCGGGCTCAGTGGCTCACACCTGTAATCCCAGCACTTTGGGATGCTGAGGTGGGCTAATCACCTGAGGTGGGGAGTTCAAGACCAGCCTGACCAACATAGAGAAACCCTGTCTCTACTAAAAAAAAAGAAAAAAAAAATTACAAAACTAGCTGGACGTAGTGACGCATGCCTGTAATCCCAGCTACTTGGGAGCCTGAGGCAGGAGAATCACTTGAACCCAGGAGGTGGAGGTTGCAGTGAGCCGAGATTGCACCACTGCACTCCAGCCTGGGCAACAAGAACGAAACTCCATCTCAAAAAAAAAAAAAAAAAAAAATTAAAAAGGGGGCCAGGTACGGTGGCTCATGCCTGTAATCCCAGCACTTTGGGAGGCCAAGGCGGGCAGATCTTGAGGTCAGGAGTTCAAGACCAGCCTAACCAACATGGTGAAACCCCATCTCTACTAAAAATACAAAAATTAGCCGGGCATGGTGGCACGTGCCTGTAATCTGAGATACTCAGGAGGCTGAGGCAGGAGAATCGCTTGAACCCAGGAGGCGGAGGTTGCAGTGAGCCGAGATTGCACCACTGCACTCTAGCCTGGGCGACCGAGTGAGACTCCGTTTCAAACAAAAAAAAAAAAAGAAAGAAAGAAAAGAAAAGAAACAGAATGGAATGGTGGTTACCAGTGGCTGAGGGGAGGGGAGATGGGGAGATGTTGGTCAAGGAGTACAAATTTTCAGTTATGCAAGATGAATAAGTTCTGGAGATCTAATATACAGCCTGGTGACTACTGTTAACAATACTGCTTTGTATACTTAAAATTTGCTAAATGGGTAGACCTTAAGTGTTCTCACCACACACACTAACTCTTTACAGAATAGAAAAAGAAGGAACACTATGCTGACTCGTTTTGTGAGCAATTGCAAGCTTAGTATAAAAAAAAGTAAAAAGGTCAATATTGGAAAGAAAAATTGAAGGTCAATCTCCATGAACATAGATGCAAGAATCCTGAACAAAATATTACCAAACTGAATCCAGCAATTAAAATTTTAAAAAAATGACCAAGTTGGGTTTATTCCAGGAATGAAAAGTTAGATCATTAGAACATAAATTAATGTAATTTAGCTTATTCGTTGAAGAAAAATTATGTTGTGATTTTTTTTTTTTTTTTGAGACGGAGTCTCGTTCTGTTGCCCAGGCTGGAGTGCAGTGGTGCAATCTTGGCTCACTGCAACCTCCGTCTCCTGGGTTCACACCATTCTCCTGCCTCAGCCTCCCAAGTAGCTGGGACTACAGGCGCCCATCACCACGACCGGCTAATTTTTAGTATTTTTAGTAGAGATGGGGTTTCACTGTGTTAGCCAGGATGGTCTCAATCTCCTGACCTCGTGGTCTGCCCACCTTGGCCTCCCAAAGTGCTGGGATTATAGGCGTGAGCCACCGCGCCTGGCCTATGTTGTTATCTTACTTGAGATGAGAAAGTGTGTGATAAAATTCAAAACAACATTCATGAGACAAAAAGTAAAAAAATAAAATCACTTACACACTAGAAACAAAAAGGAATGTTCTTAACATGATAAGTATATCTTCAAACTAATGAGCAAAAAAAGGTTTTTTCAATTGTGAAATATTAACACGTACTTTTAAAAATCAGGCATAATAAGATGTTACATAATCCTCAGTTCTACTCAGTGCTGCATTGGAATTCTAACCTGTGCAAAAATAAGAATACAAGCAAAGATAAGGAAAATAATACAGATTCAAAAAATATCTGTCATTATATGCAGGTATTATATTCTACACAGAAAACTTCCAGTTATCTATACTGTATTAGTCCATTCTCAAGCTGCTAACAAAGACATACCCAAGACTGGGTAATTTATAAAGAGGTTTAATTGACTCACAGTTCAGCATGGCTAGGGAGGCCTCAGGAAACTTATAATCATGGTGAAAAGGGAAGCCAACACGTCCTTCTTCACATGGCAGCGGGGAGGAGAAGGAACGCCGAGCAAAGGGAAAAGTCCTTTATAAAACCATCTGATCTCATGAGAACTTATGCACTATCACAAGAGCAGGATGGGGGGAACCACCCCCGTGATTCAGTTATCTCTACCTGTTCCCTCCCATGACACATGGGGACTATAGGAACTATAATTCAAGATGAGATTTGGGTGGGGACACAGAAAACCCATATCATATACATTATTAGAAGTAATAGAAGAGTTTAGTAAGTTTCCTAGGCATAAAATCCACATGTGCATCAACTGCGTTTCTAAACACCAGCCAAAAAACAGGTGGAAAATAAAGTTTTAAAATATTATTTACAGTAGCAACAACAAAATAAGGTACCAAAGAATTAGTCTAGCAAAAGATATACCAGACCTTTTGGCAGAAAGTTATAAAACTTTAGTGAAAGGTCTTCAATAGGACCTAAATAAAGAGAACAACAACACTTTTTCCATGGATAGGAAGATTAAATATCTTAAAGATCAATCAATTCTCCCCTAAACTTTCATATGGATTCCATGTAATTCTTTTTTTTTTTTTTTTTTTTGAGACGGAGTTTCACTCTTGTTGCCCAGGCTGGAGTGCAATGGCACGATCTTGGCTTACTGAAACCTCCATTTCCCAGGTTCAAGCGATTCTCTTGCCTCAGCCTCCCAAGCAGCTGGGATTACAGGTGCCCACCACCATGTCTGGCTAATTTTTTTTCATATTTTTAGTAGAGACAGGGTTTCCCCATGCTGGCCAGGCTGGTCTCGAACTCCTGACCTCAGGGGATTCACCTGCCTCAGCCTCCCAAAGTGCTGGGATTACAGGCGTGAGCCACTGTGCCTGGCCGATTCAATGTAATTCTAACAAAAATACCAATAAGACATTTCATAGAACTTGGCAAACATTCTAAAATGTATAAAGAAGGGCCAGTGACCAAAAAGCTGAAACAGGGAAAGTGTTCTGCCAGAAATGACATATTATAAGTAATTAGATTGTGTGTTATTAGCACGAGGATGAAAAACAGACCAACGGAACAAAAAGAGAACCCAGGAACTGATCCACACTTTATGATATATGATAGATCCAGCATTGCAGATCAGAGGGGCTATCCATATAGAAAAAAAAAAAGTGAAAATGGATTTCTGTCCCATACCATACATAAAAATCAATTTCAGGTGTATCAGGAACCAAAACAGGGAAAACAAAACTTTAAAACACTTAGAGAAAATACAAAAGAATATTCTAATGATCTGTGAGTAGGGAAAGATTTTTAATCAAGCATGGAAAATACAAACTATAAAGAAAAAATTAATAAAACTGACTAATAAAAAGAATGCTATTGAGTAGAATCACCATTAGGAGGGTAAATAGATAAGCCTCAATGTGAGAAGATACTCGTAATTATAACCAACAATGAATCATTGTACAGAATATGTAGAGTATGCTAAAGAAAAAAAAATGAAACGTACAGAAGGCTTAAACAGGCATATCTGTGAAAAAGAAATATGAACGGCCAAGATATCTACAAAGACATACTCAACCTCAGTATTAATCAGGGAACTTCAAATTAGAATGACAATAAAATAGATTTTCAAAAACAGAAGCCCAACAAAATCAAGCATTGCCAAAAGTTTAGAACCACAGACATTCTCATACATTCCTGGCAGGAGTTGGCTCAACCACATTAGAAATTGTCATTACTTCATGCACCAGATACTATGAACTGGTTTGCTCAACTTTTATTCCACCTTCTCCTAGGGTGCCTTCCTATATTTCAAAGGGCAGAAAACTAAAAACCCCATTTGCAAGACACCCTTATAGCTAGGGTTCCATATACGATTAAAGTTTGACCCATCCAATGCTCTCAGTGAGACCTGAACTGAGTTAAGTGAAGAGAGAGAGGCAAGGCTGACAGTATTTGTTTTACTGGCAGGGATTAAAATGGTGGCTTCCCAATTTTAGAAGGTGATTTCAGAGCTGTGTTTGGTTCTGGAGCCAGCAGGTCTGACAGTGGCTTCTTGATTTAGCTGAAGTGGTCCCTAATTGTGCCCAAGGCACTGTGGCTTTGGAGTCAGATTGTATTGGCAGCTTTCCAATTCAAAACATAGCTTCCCATTGACGGGAAAAGTGGCAGCTTTCTTGATGGCTCAGTGTGGCTTTGGTGTGGCCTTGGGAATTATCACTAGAAGTTCAGTGTTGAGTCTATTTCTTTAACCCTCCCAACAATTCTGTAAATGATCAATCATCTATCATAAATCCCTTTCTGCTTTAATGAATGAGGGTGCATTCTGCCGTTTGTTCTCTACCTGAATCAATACATCAGCAAAGTTGTATTTGTACATACTAAGCAGCCCAACAATTGTTTTCCTAGGTATAGACCCTAAAGAAACTCTTATGATTCCTCAAGGATCTAGAACTAGAAATACCATTTGACCCAGCAATCCCATTACTGGGTATATACCCAAAAGATTATAAATCATGCTGCTATAAAGACACATGCACACGTATGTTTATTGTGGCACTACTCACAATAGCAAAGACTTGGAACCAACCCAAATGTCCAACAATGATAGACTGGATTAAGACAATGTGGCACATATACACCATGGAATACTATGCAGCCATAAAAAATGATGAGTTCATGTCCTTTGTAGGGACATGGATGAAGCTGGAAACCATCATTCTCAGCAAACTATCACAAGGACAAAAAACCAAACACCATATGTTCTCACTCACAGGCGGGAATTGAACAATGAGAACACATGGACACAGGAAGGGGAACATCACACACCGGGGCCTGTTGTGGGGTGGGGGGAGGGGGGAGGGAGAGCATTAGGAGATATACCTAATGCTAAATGACGAGTTAATGGGTGCAGCACACCAACATGGCACATGTATACATATGTAACTAACCTGCACATTGTGCACATGTACCCTAAAACTTAGTATAATTAAAAAAAAAAAGAAACTGTTGGATATGTAAACCACAAATACATACAAGGATACTTATTGCAGCACTGTTTGTAATGAAAAACTGGAGACAACCCAATATCTATCAAGAGTAGCATGGATAAGTAAGTGATGATATAATCAAGAGAATACTACACAGATATGAAAATGAATAACTTATAGTTTTACATATCAGTGTGGATACATTGCAAAAATAATGTTGAATGAAAATAACTCACAACAGACTATACACAGTATGATTTTATTTATATAAGTTTAAAACTAAACATTATTTGGAGACATACACGTATATATGTACCATATATATATATATATATATATATATATATATATATATTTGGAGGTACATAGCTATATATATATTTGGAGATACATTGGTATATATAAATAAATGTAAAGAAAATACAGGAAACAGTTGACACAGAGTTCAGGAAAATCACTACTTCTGGTAGGAAGAGGCAGGGGTGTTATCAGAAAGGGTTATACAGGAGGCTTCAAGGATACTGGTAGTGTGTGATTCCAAAGCTGTGAATGTGGGCTGGTATTCAGTCAAGTTTGCATGTATATCATATACTCTTCTGTATATATAAGTTATTTGATAATTTTAAATGTTAAAGAAAAATAAAGAATGAGAAGGCAAGAAAAAAATGAAAATGTTAACACAACCGACCACGCAATTTCAATTCTGTCCTAAAGACATACCCACACATAAATGAAATGACTATAAAGTATGAGGTTATTATTGCAACATTATTTGAAATAACAAGAGATTGGAAATAACATAAATATTTATAAATTTGGAACAATGGTACATTCAACATAGTGAAGTAGGGTACGGTCGTAAAGTATATGAAAAAATTCTTCCATTGATATGGTGTGATCCTCAGTGTGTGTTCAGTGAAAAATTCATGGTGAATAATAACGAGATTAACAGCCTTTTATTTTAAAAAAGAAAAAATATATAATATAGTGCTATTAAATAATAGTACAACAGTAATATACACATATAAGTGGCCTTTATTTATAAAAAAAAAATTAAAAGAATAACTTAGAAACCAATAAAAATGACTACCTAGTCAACTCTGGACACATGACCTACGAGTTAGCCCTGCTCTGCAAGGAGCAGTTTTTTGTAATAAAAGATAAAAACAAACAAGCAAAAAAATGATTACTTACGGGAGAGGGGCAGAATCGAAAAGAAGAGATTAGAGACAACCTTCTCTAAGTATATGTTTTCATATAGTTTTAATTTTTAAACCATGCAAAGATTTTTACATACTCAAATAATAAACTTAAACCCTATTGAAAAAAAAAATGAAGCAAATCCTGGAATTGAAAACAAACTAAAGTAAATAAAACTAGTAATATTGTAAATAACCATCCAAAGGAAAGAGCTCCTTCTAGACTTTGAAGTTAGTACTTTATGCATGCTTGGTGGCATACTTCTGCAGAGCAATCTTAAATTTCATTTAGCAGTTCTATTGCTAGTAAAAATCTTAGTATGTTATTTTGAAGCAGTCTCTATTTCCCTCTCTTTCAGAGATAATTTTATCTCTCAGAGAGACTCCGTCTCAAAAAAAAAAAAAAGCAAGCAAGAAAAAAGATCAAGTTATCAATAGTTAGAAAATGACACTGAAAACAGACCTATCTCACATTCCTGTGACAGAACCATCTCACTCTGAATCCATTGTCGGAAGCTTTGCTAGGTTATTTGGACAACTGAGAGATTCTGAGCTTCCTGGAGACTGTCCCTCTCGCTAGCAAGAATACACCAAAAAAGATGGCCCTCTGAAGATAGCTTTTAAACGGTTCAGAATCAAAGCCCTCACAGGGATTTAGCAATGACAGGTTCTGAAACTCAATTACTTGCAGGGGTTTAAAAGGTTGAAGAATCTCTTCTTCAATGCAAAATTTCTTCCACACCAAAGAAGTTAAACCTCACCTTTGAAGGGCCTCAACTTTAAGAATCATAATAATCAGTGATTCTGGGCTTAATCAGTCTTTGTTGAGTAATTGGATTTCTTTTTTTTTTTTTTTTAAAGTCTCAAGCTCAAGTGGCCAAGGCAAGACGGGTCAAAGTCAGAGTGGTGGTCACAGTCCTGGAGGTGGCAAGAAGGATGACAAGGACAAGAAAAAGAAATATGAACCTCCTGTACCAACTGGAGTGGGGAAAAAGAAGAAAACAAAAGGATCAGATGTTGCCAGCAAACTGCCACTGGTGACACCTCACACTCAGTGCCCATTACAATTACTGAAGTTAGAGAGAATTAAGGACTATCTTCTCATGGAGGAAGAATTCAAAAGGAATCGGGAACAAATGGAACCATTAGAAGAAAAGCAAGAGGAGGAAAGATCAAAGGTGGACGATCTGAGGGGACCCCGATGTCAGTAGGAACCTTGGAAGAGATCAATGACAGTCATGCCATCGTGTCTACATCTGTGGGCTCAGGACACTACGCCAACATTCTTTCATTTGTAGACAAGGATCTGCTGGCAACTGGCTGCTCAGTCCTGCTCAATCACAAGGTGCATGCCATGAGAGGGGTGCTGATGGATGACGTGGATCCCCTGGTCACAGTGATGAAGGTGGAAAAGGTCCCCCAGGAGACCTATGCCAATACTGGGAGGTTGGATAATCAAATTCAGGAAATTAAGGAATCTGTGGAGCTTCCTCTCACCCATGCTGAACATTATGAAGAGATGGGTATAAAGCCTCCTAAGGGGGTCATTCTCTATGGTCCACCTGGCATAGTTAAAACCTTGCTAGCCAAAGCGGTAGCAAACCAAACCTCAGCCACTTTCTTGAAAGTGGTTGGCTCTGAACTTATTCAGAAGTACCTAGGTGATGGGCCCAAACTTGTACGGGAATTGTTTCAAGTTGCTGGAGAACATGCACCATCCATCGTGTTTACTGATGAAACTGACGCCATTGGGACAAAAAGATATGACTCAAATTCTGGTGGTGAGAGAGAAATTCAGCAAACAATGTTGGAACTGTTGAACCAGTTGGATGGATTTGATTCTAGGGGAGATGTGAAAGATATCATGACCACAAACTGAAGAGAAACTTTGGATCCAGCACTTATCAGACCAGGCCGCACTGGCAGGAAGATCAAGTTCCCCCTGCCTGATGAAAAGACTAAGAAGTGCATCTTTCAGATTCACACAAGCAGGATGATGCTGGCAGATGATGTAACCCTGGATGACTTGATCGTGGCTAAAGATGACCTCTCTGATGCTGACATCAAGGCAAATCTGTACAGAAGCTGGTCTGATGGCCTTAAGAGAACGTAGAATGAAAGCAACAAATGAAGACTTCAAAAAATCTAAAGAAAATGTTCTTTATAAGAAACAGGAAGGCACCCCTGAGGGGCTGTCTCTCTAGTGAACCACAGCTGCCATCAGGAAAATGGTTGGGAGATTTCTCAATCCCTGAAAGGGATGAGGTTGGGGGATTTGCCCAGAGGAATCCCTGTTCCCAGTGATTTTTATTAGAAAAACATCCTGTGTCTTTTGGAGTACAATGTGTAAGTGCCCATTGGGTGGCCTTCGTCTGTTGGTCACTGTGCAGCAGTCTGCTTCCCAGTAAAGTGTGCTCTTTCTCACACACACACACACACACACACACACACACACACACAAAGAATCTCGCTCTGTTGCCCAGGCTGGAGTGCAGTGGCACAATCTTGGCTCACTGCAATCTCTGCCTCCCAGGTTCAAGCGATTCTCTGCCTCAGCCTCCAGAGTAGCTGGTATTACAGACGTGCGCCACCACACCCAGCTAATTTTTGTATTTTTAGCAGAGATGGGGTTTTGCCATGTTGGCCAGGCTGGTCTCAGACTCCTAACCTCAAGTGATCCACCCGCTTCAGCCTCCCAAAGTGCTGGGATTACAGGTGTAAGCCACCACACCAGCCAGACTTCTTAAAAATAATATTTTCTGTACAAAGCAAGAGTAAGAAGGTGGTCAGGAGACTTATCAGATTGAAATGATCTCCATGAAGTCCCAGAAAGGTAAAGGAGACTTCTCACTTCCCACTCAGCTCTCAGGCCCATGAAAACCACCCATCCACATCATACATACTGCAAGGTGACCTGAATTCCAAAGTCCTGACTGCTTCTCACCTTTTATCCTCCCCAGGAACTGTAGTTAATAACATTCACCCTGTATTAGTCCGTTTTCACACTGCTATAAAGAATTGCCCAAGACTGGATAATTTATAAAGAAAAGAGGCTTAAATTCCACATGTCTTGGGAAGCCAACTTCCTTGGGAAGGAAACTTACAGTCATGGCAGAAGGGGGAGCAGACTCATCTTACATGGTGGCAGGCAAGAGAGACTGTGTGACAGCACGAGAAAAACTACCATTATAAAACCATCAGATCTCGTGAGAATTCACTCATTATCACGTGAACAGCATGGGGGAAACTACTCCCATCATTCAATTACTTTTCTCCCTTGACATCTGAGGATTACAATTCAAAATGAGATTTGGCCGGGCACAGTGGCTCACGCCTGCAATCCCAGCACTTTGGGAGGCCGAGGTGGGTGGATCACCTGAGGTCAGGAGTTCAAGACCAGCCTGGCCAACATGGCAAAACCCCATCTGTAGAGAAAATACAAAAATTAGCTGGGTGTGGTGGCAGGTGCCTGTAATCCTAGCTACTTTGGAGGCTGAGGCAGGAGAATCTCTTGAACCTGGGAGGCGGAGGTTGCAGTGAGCAGAGATCGCACCAGTGCACTCCAGCTTAGGCAACAGCATGAGACTCCATCTCAAAAAAAAGAAAAAAGACAAAATGAGATTTGGATAGGGACACAAAGCCTAACCATATCACACCCCATTGGCCACCCACCCACCTCCTCCTCCTAGAAGCTCTTCCCTCCCTGTGAGTTGGCAGGTGAACTTCTGTTGTTCCTTTCTGGCCACATCTCCCACCTCCTTTACTCACTCTACTCTCTTCCTCTGGAAACTAAACATAGGCATTTCACAAGGCTCTCCTCTCTTCCTTAAAAAACTCACTCATTTTACACCTTCAACTCTCTCCTTCATACAGATGATTCTGTTTTATCAGCTCACCCCTCACTTCACTCTTGAGTCCCAGACTCAAATTTCCAACTACCTGCTGGAAATCTGCACTTCATTGGCCCATGGCTGTTTTAAACTCCATCTGCTCAAAACCGAAAGCAAGACAACCCCCTGAAAACCTACTTCTTCTGCACTTTCCACTCTTCTGTTCCTTCATGTGAGAAAATATCCACACGAAGTACAGCACATATTCTCGTCTCTGAGTGTACCATCCTCCCTGCACCCCTGCACTCAACTAGAAATTTCCATTCTCCTTAGCTGTTTTCTAGTGCCCATACTACTGATTCTGAACTCAGGGGATTATCTGCAAACACAAGTTCCAAGGCCCCATCTGCAGGTTTGAAAACCACTGCTCTTGACACAACATTTTCTAGGTGAAATCAGACCAAGGGAATGCTTGTACCACATCAGACAGTCCCCTGTTAAAACTGTTTTCACGGGGCTGTGATTTGTTGCGATACCCTTGGCTGCTTAAAGGCTGCTACAAAAAGGCATATGATTAAAATTGCTGTTGTACTCATGCCAGAGGCGTAGCTGAGCATGTTAACATTACATCACAGAGGGGGCCTTTTATGAGGCAGGGTCCCTGACTGATGAGCAAACCACCAGAGGAGGGTCAGGCGAGAGGCCCAGTGGAGGGTAACACACATGGAGTTCAGTGACCCCTTTGTTCCTTGAGGAGAGAGGACCTATTTCTACCTAAGGACATTCCCGGAAGGCAATGGGTTTCAAACAATATCCTGAAGAGACTCATCTCGGGGAACTAAGCAGGTAGGAATGGAAAGGAGGAAATGGGAGGGGAGAGGAAGTCAATCTGGGACCCTCATCCCGGCTTCAACCAAAAGCTTCACTCTCATCTGCCTGATGGATGGAGCTACAATGTTTTTGAACAAGAGATTCCATTTGAACAAAGAGCTCTGGGTTCTGTAACTTTAAGAGTTTGGGTGGTTTTTTTTTCTTTTCATTTGTTTGTTTGTTTTTTGCCACATCAGATTTTATAGAGAATTTAAGAGTTTTAAAACTACAATTAGGCCGGGTATGGTGGCTCAGGCCTGTAATCCCAGCACTTTGGGAGGCCAAGGCGGGCTGAGGTCAGGAGTTCGAGACCAGCATGGCCAACATGGTAAAACCCCGTCTCTACTAAAAAAAATTACAAAAATTAGCCAGGTGTGGTGGTGCGCGCCTGTAATTCCAGTTACTCTGGAGGCTGAGGAATAAGAATCGCTTGAATCCTGGAGGCAGAGCCTGCAGTGAGTCGAGATGGCACCACTGCACTCCAGCCTGGGTGACAGTGAGACACTGTCGTAAAATAAATAAAATAAAACTACAAATATAGAGGAGCAGAGAGTGGCAAAGCAGATTGAGGACAGACTTCAGAAGGCCTTGAACTCTAATGTAAAGCATTCAGATTTTCACCTCAGGCCAGTGGGGACTCGCCAAAAGCTTTTGTGGAAGGAACAGAATGGTGAAAGCAATGCTGAACAGAGCCTAACTTGGTTACAGTGTTCAGGATGGAGACCAGAGTTGGAAGATAAAACAGAGGCACCAACTACCAGGTGTTTTCTACAATAAGGGCCTCAATCAGGTTTTTTTAAGGAAAAGATGCATTCCATGAAGTCAAATATCCAAGAAGAGGTATACATTGCACACAATACTTTATTTGATCCTTTTCTACATTCCCCAGGGGTGTATTCCTGTCACCATTGGAGATGAGGAAATAAGGCCCTGAGGCTCAAGTCATTTGTCCAAGATTACATAGTGAGCAAATGACTAAACTGTAATTCAATGCCAAGTCTGTTTTTTGTTTTTTATTTGAGACAGAGTCTCGCTCTGTCACCAGGCTGGAGTGCAGTGGCGTACAGTCTTGGCCCACTGCAAACTCTGTCTCCTGGGTTCAAGCGATTCTCCTGCCTCAGCCTCCTGAGTAGCTGGGACTACAGGCATGTGACACCACACTAATTTTTTGTATTTTTAATAGAGACTGGGTTTCACCACGTTGGCCAGGATGGTCTTGATCTCTTGACCTCGTGATCTGCCCTCCTCGGCCTCCCAAAGTGCTGGGATTACAGGCGTGAGCCACAGCCCCCGGCTGTCTGTTAAACTGTTTACTGTATTGTATGACCTCCAGCCATCCAAATCCCTTACCTGGGCATTCAAGACCTTAAAAAATCAGACTTCTAAAATGTGTGCATTTTATCATATGCGGATAGTACCTAATTTAAAAGTTAAGCTGATCCTCAAAACACTTGTTATTTTCTGATTTTTTTATAGTTGCCATCCTAGTGGGTGTGAGATAATATCTTATTAGGAAACCTCATTTGTTTTTAACTTTTTTGTTAATTAATGTATTTAAGACTATAAATTTGCCTTTAAGTACTGCTTTAGATGTGTACAAATTCAATCATGTAGTATTTTATTCAGTTCTATTTTTTTTAGTCCAAATGTTATTTAATAGTGTGCTATTTAGTTTCTGAATAAGCAGGACTTTATTTTAGCCATCTTTTAAAAAATATTAATTCTGTGATGGCATTGTAGTTGGAAAACATTGTCAGAATGGGATTGATTCCTTGGAACTTACTGAAACTTCCTTTATGGCCTAATATGTGATCTATTATTGCAGATGTTTTAGGTATAATCAAAAGAATGTTTTCTGTTTGTGTTGTGTACACACACACACACACACACACACACACACACATATATATATATATATTTGAGACAGAATCTTGCTCTGTCACCCAGGCATGATCTTGACTTACTGCAACCTCCACCTCCAGGGTTCAAGCAATTCTCATGCCTCAGCCTCCCAAGTACCTGGGACTACAGGTCCGTGCCACCATGCCTAATTTTTGTATTTTTAGTAAAGATGGGTTTTCACCATGTTGTCCAGGCTGATCTCAAACTCCTGGTCTCAAGTGATCTGCCCACCTTGTCCTCCCAAAGTACTGGGATTACAGTTATGAGCCACCACACCTGGCCATATATTTTTAATTGTATTTTTGCCCATTCATATCAATGAATAAACATTTCCAAATGCAACTGTTAATTTTTGAATTTTTTCTATGTATCTGATATAGCTCAAGATTGTATTGGTAGGTGTTATATGTTTATGATGATTATTTTGATTTTATACTGTTCCTTAAACATTTTTAAACAGTGAAATATAACTTACATGAATAAAGTTTATAAATCTTATATGCATATTTAAAGCAATACTTACAGACATCCATATAACCACCACTAAGGTCAAGAAATAGGCTGGGCACAGTGGCTCACACCTGTAATCCCAGCACTTTGGGAGGCCAAGATGGGTGGATCACCTGAGGTCAGGAGTTCAAGACCAGCCCGGCCAACATGGCAAAATCCCATCTCTATTAAAAATACAAAAATTGGCATGTGCCTGTACTCTCAGCTGCTTGGGAGGCTGAGACAGGAAGAATCGCTTGAACCCAGGAGGCAGAGGTTGCAGTGAGCCAAGATCATGTCACTGCACTCCAGCCTGGGTGACAGAGTGGGACCCTGTCTTAAAAAAAATAAAATAAAATAAAATAAAATATTGTTAACTTTTTTTTAGTTAACAGTTTTAAAAATAAACTCACCTTTCTAACCTTTTCTGGCACTAATCCACCTTCTCCACCAACCCTTCCATACACCTCATGCTTCTTAGGGATAAGGCTGTTTGTCACTATGCACTAATTCTGCTATTCATTGCACCCAGTCATTTTGCTTGTTTGAGACAGGGTCTCACTTTATTGCCCAGGCTGGAGTGCAGTGGCCCCGTCTTGGCTCACTGCAACCTCCGCCTCCTGAGTTCAAGCAATTCTCCTGCCTCAGCCTGCCAAGTAGCTGGAATTAAAGGCACTCACCACCCCATGCCCGGCTAATTTTTGTATTTTTAGTAGAGACGGGATTTCATCATGTTGGTCAAGCTGGTCTTGAACTTCTGACCTTGTGATCCGCCTGCCTCGGCTTCCCAAAGTGCTGGGATTACAGGCGTGAGCCATTGCACCCAGCCGCCCCCAGTCATTTTTATGGCTTCTCTTACACCTAGTGATGACTGTCATGTGAGGGTCCCTTCCCCCACCTCCCCTGCCAAAAACCTCCCCAGGCTTCAAACTGCAGCTAAGTGGTACCTCTGTAGAGTGTCCTTCACTCTCTCCTCAAGAGGGAACCTCTGTCTCTCTATTCTCTATATCTTTACACCTTTTTAAAAAATTACCCTTAAGTCAGCTTTCATATTCTTCTCATATTGTGGTTATTTTGTCACCTATTACATATAAACTCCTTGAAGACAGGACAAAGGTCTTAACCTCTGATTTTCCTTAGCTTGATTCGGTGTGAGGCATATGGTAAGTGCTCAACCAATATTTTAAAGAAATGAATAGAATCTCTTCTTTAATTCAGCTATGTTTCATTATTCAAGATAGCTAGCATTTTTTCCCCTTAAAACATCTCTTTGGCCAGGCACGGTGGCTCATGCCTGTAATCTCAGCACTTTGGGAGGCCGAGGCGGGCAGATTGTCTGTGTTCAGGAGTTCAAGACCAGCCTGGCCAAAATAGTGAAACCCTGTCTCTGCTAAAAATACAAAAGATTAGCTGGGCGTGGTGGCATGCACCTGTAATCCCAGCTACTCAGGAGTCCGAGGCAGGAGAATCACTTGAACCTGGGAGGTGGAGGTTGCAGTGAGCTGAGATCATGCCATTGCACTCTAGCTTGGGCAACAAGAGTGAAATTCCATCTCAAAAAACAAAACAAAACAAATCTCTTTATGTTCATTTCTTTTCCATTTTGATTGCTGCTCTGCAGAAAGAGAAAGAGGAAGGATCGAAAGAAGAATAAAAGGAAAGAAAGGAGGAAGGGAGGGAGAAAGGGAGGGAGGGAAGGAGGGAGGGAGGGAGGGAAGGAAGGAAGGAAGGAAGGAAACTACATTTAGATCCCCTTTCCAGACCAATTACATGAGAATTTCTGGAGAATGAGTCCAGCATCCTTAATTTTCTCATGTGCCACCAGGATTGAGAACCACTGCTTTTTTGGTCCCTTTTAATTTCACCAGTTTTATCTCTAAACCTCTAAAACAGGGAGGGAGGGAGGGAGGAACCCAGTGGCTTTTAGGGCCTCGTTTCACAGGCCCATCCAATCTATTCAGCTACTTCTTCCAACAGATGCCTCTGCTCCAAGGCTCATCCAGGTCCCACAGGCACGCTGTGCTCCCGTCTTTATTCTCTGCTCCTTGTACCTGGATGTTTCCCTTCTCCCCTCCCCTACTCACATTCTAACCATCCTTCCAAGCTATTCCCTCCTCCTCAAAGCTTCCCAGACCACTACTATCATCCCTTTCTAAATCCCTGTGGTTGAAATAAGCATGCTGACCGTAGCTAATAACACTGTATTGAATGCTGGAAATTGGCAAAGAGTGTAGATTTCAGGTGTTCTCACCACACACACACACACACACACACACACACAAAGGTAACTGTCAGGAGATGGATATGTTAATTTGCTTGACTGTAGTATTCATTTCACTATGGATATGTACTGCAAAATGCCATGCTGCACACTTCAAATATATACTGTAAAAGAAATAAGACCTTCGAGTCGGCACAAAATCCAACACAATGGACTTATCCCCACCACCAGTCCATGCACTTGTCTCTCTAAGATCACAAATACCCTGAGAACAGGGACCATGGCTAAGATTCTGTGGCCATGACCCTGGCCTCTAACGCTGTGGAGACATGGTTTGCTAATGGAATGCTTTTTCCAGAGGAGGCCCTTTAACCTAACCCTCTCCTGCCACAGAGTAAAGGAAGAAACAAGAAGTTTCAGTGACTTACGGGAAGTCGTACACCTTGACCCGAATCTAGCAACCTCAAGGCTCTTCTCTGGTTGTTTATTCACAGCCATCTGTTTTCCTCATTCTCTCCTCTGATTCCCCCTCAGGAGCGACAGAAGGCCCTTTACCCTCACCTTTCTCTCTTAGTCTTATGAACTGTGTCTTTCTCAGTGATAGGTCACTCAGCTGCTGTATTTGGTGGCAGAGCCCAGAGAACAGCACAGAACCACAGCCCTCAGGGCAATTCAGATGCTGGGGTTTTTTTCTGAAAGTCCTTCCCTGAAGAGTTATTCCTTGTGAGGGAGGGGGGAGGAGGACATTTCTGGACTTATTGCTGACATACACACCAAAGGCTGAGTTTGTCTTCTGGGTTAAACAGAGGCACTATGGCTCTAAATTGGCCAGGAAGAGGCTTCAGCTGAGGCTACAGGAGGGCAGACCACCAAGCGAGTATAAAAGAAAAAAGCAGGCTGGGCACAGTGGCTCATGCCTGTAATCCCAACATTTTGGAAGGCTGGGGTGGGCAGATCACTTGAGGCCCGGAGTTTGAAACCAGGCTGGCCAGCATGGCAAGACCCAGTCTCTACAAAAAATACAAAAATTAGCGCGGTGTGGTGGTATGCACCTGTAGATCCAGGAATTTGGGAGGCTGAGGTGGGAGGATCGCTTGAGCCCAGAAGGTCGAGGCTGCAGTGAGCCATAACCACGCCACTGCACTCCAGCCCAGGTGACAGAGCAAGACCGTCTCAAAGAAACAAAAATGAAAGAAAAAGAAAAAATATATAACAGTTAAGTAGAAGCAGAAGCTTCCACCAATTTGAGGGAAAAGCAACCTTTATAAACCAATGTCAAGCCAGGACAGGCAGAAAAGAGCACCTCTTGAGTAGACAGGCTGACAGGGGCCCTGGAATTCAGGCTAGGAGCACATGTTCATGAGAGAATTAGAATACTGCACTCCAGCAATAATCCCAAATCCTTGGCAGATGTTAAAGTGATTTCCATCCCCATGAGGTGCAGAGATACTAGGAATCCCCCCTGGATTTCTTCCTGGGCAAGGCTGTTGCCAAGGTCCCCAACTGAAGGTAGAAAGGGTGACAGTGGCCAGCGGAGTGAGAAAGACAGCAGGGGCTGGGCCCACACAGGTGGCCGCCGTTCCCACCGGCAGCAGTTAAGGCTTTGATTAGCAGCCCACAGCAGCCATGGCTGGGGAGGGCCACCTCCCACCCGGGCACAAGCCGAAGGACACTTGTGACAGGACAGCTGCGGATGGTGGGTACTCTCATGCCCTGTGTCTTTCCACACTGGGATATTCACTATCACGTATACCCCCATTCACACCTGGAACCACTCTGCTAGTCCCCAAGAGGAGATTCGGACTGTTAGAACGAGATAATTTCAGAGCTTTAAATGGCTCCCATTTATGAGAAACTGGATGAGAGAGCAAAGCAAAGCATTCACGACTCACGTGCTACAGATGTTCAAGCCAGGAGAACTAGCAGGAAGGGGTTCTTTCCAGCCTTCACTCTGCCATTTACCAAGTATGTACCAAGTATGTGAGCCTGGGCACTGTGGATGTGGCTCACCATTCCTGCATCTGGGGTGGGCAGATCACTTGAGGCCAGGCGTTTGAGACCAGGCTTGCCAACACGGCAAGACCCCGTCTCTACAAAACATACAAAAATTAGCGAGGTGTGGTGGTATGCACCTGTAGATCCAGGAACTTGGGAGGCTGAGGTGGGAGGATCGCTTGAGCCCAGAAGGTCGAGGCTGCAGTGAGCCGTGACCACATGAGGGGGTCGAGCAAAATGACTCTTTGAAAATGGCCCTGACAATTCTCTAGTTACAAACCCTCATTTCACAATCATTAAGTGAGGGCTCCAATCACACAGCCAGTTGGGTCAGAGCAGAGCTGGAATCTGCCTCCCTGGATCTCGTGCTTCTCTGCTCTACCCGGCATCTCCTTCCTCCCACCTGTGATTCCCAGTCATGCTGTCAATAGGAGTGGCGGGAGGAGGATCCTGGAGCCATAAGCTAGAAAGGTCCCCAAGACGCAGGCCGCAGGCTACGTGGGAAATTTCCAGATGCTAAGAGAAGGCCGCTCTGCTCTTTGTCAGGGCTCCCCGTGAAACTGACGAAAAGTCAAATTCCATGGAGGTGACTAAAGACAACTCGACTCTATCTGTATTATTTGAATTTCATACAATCAAGCAGGTATTTCAGTATGACTTAATTAAAAACTGAATACAGAGTCTTAAAACTTCTATCATTTAGATTCTTTTTTTTTTTTTTTGGAGACAGAATCTTGCTGCGTTGCCCAGGCTGGAGTGCAGTGGCACAATCTCAGCTCACTGCAGCCTCTGCCTCCTGGGTTCAAGAAGTTCTCCTGTCTCAGCCCCCCAAGTAGCTGGGATTACAGGCATGGGCCACCACACCCAGCTAATTTTTGTATTTTTAGTAGAAATGAAGTTTCACCATTTTGGCCAGGCCGGTCTCAAACTCCAGATCTCCAGTGATCTGCCTGCCTCGGCCTCCCAAAGTGCTGAGATTACAGGTGTGAGTCACCACACCTGGCCTAGATTCATTTATTTTGGCTTAACTAATATCTAATAGGTAAATCACAGATATCCCACTGGAGGAACATTCTCACATAACTCCTTGTGGATAATAATCACAGCTAACATTGAGAGGATGCCGTGTGCCAGGAGTTTTGTAGATGTGATATCATCTCATGCTTACGGGACGTGTGGCTGTTACCAGCACCTTACAGATGCGAACACAGAGGGTTGGAGAGTTAGGTCATTTATTCATCCACACAGGGGAGGTTTGGGGCCAGGATCAAACCCACGTGTGTTGGATAGACTGACTCCACAGTCCATGTCCCCGATCCCTGCACCACACTGCCTCTCGGTGGGTATTTACACCTGACACTAATATGTCTCTCTAACGCCATTACTGAAGTCAAGTTCTGACAGAGTAAGGAAGATAAGAGACAACATCAGAGCACCTGGGCTCAAGGCCCAGCTCCACCACTTATTACTTAGGAGAAGTTAACCTTTATGAACTGCAGTGTCTCATCCAAACAAGAATGATTCTAGATGATTGCTCACAGAACTGTTGTGAAGACTAAGTCTGAGAACCCATGAACAATGCTCAGTGCAATGCCTGGTATATAATAAGCTCTCAACAGAAACACATAATCATGGTTCAGGACACCAAAGAGCACCTGGGCCCCCATCACAGCACTGCTGCTGGCCAGCCCTGGATTGAAGCACCATGCTCCCAGGCTGCCAGCTTCTGCAGATTTCAGCTACCCTGAACATTCCCTGCCTTAAAGTCAGCTTCCAGAAGAGCACATTTGATCCCAAGTTAAATTGTGAAGTAGACGACCAGCTGCCATTCATATGGAGCCCAGTGTGGATGCGTAGGTAAGTTAGAGGATGAAGCGCTGCCTTCAGGGTCACACCAACAAACTTGAGGACTGACTACTACAGAATCCGTGAGTGTTCTGGCTGGTTTAGAGGCCTCGGTTATCCCAGTTGTCTGTATTGACAAGCAGCAATCTTGATGCGCCACCTGAGTGAGGGTTCCACTCAGCTGTAAATGACATGTTATAATAGTTTTAAATTTATATGTGACTTTTTCACTTTTGTGTCTTAAAAGCCAAAGGAAATGACCTCAGTTGTTTTTTATTTTTCCAAAACAAAGTCCAAAAGGTATAGACTTTCCAGCACCATCTCCAATGGCATGTTTCCATAAACCCTCTGCATAGGCACGCCCAACCACTCGCCACTCTGAAAATGCATCGTGCTTTCTCGTGCCTCTGTGCCTTGGGCTCTCACCCTCCCTACCTGAGAATGACTCACTTCCTTGTCTCCATTAAAGCATTTGGTTACTTCTTCCTGCTTTCAGACCTTTTGTATAAGACGTCAGTTATGTCTTCCTACCAGACTGTAGACCACATGAGGACAAGACGCGCCTCCTTGTCATCTGTGTCCACCAGTCTACTAGAAAAGCTGAAAAAAGGAAAGGGGATGGTCCTTAAGCTGTAATGCAGACACATTTTCATGACTGCAAATGATAGCCTTCCAACCTCATGATAAGTATCAGGCCACTTGGCTTACTTACTCTTCCATGTATTGTAATACGTCATTATAAATTGCAGGTAACCAACATATTGACATATATTGTGGTGAAGAAGAGCAAGTTTGACTACTTTAAACATTGCTTTTTATTCCTTATCATTTTAAATGTGTTGCTACTTTTGATGCACTGCTTACTGACATTTATTGCTTCCTCTGCACAAGCACAAAATGCTGGCTCACTCTCAGATTCAATGTAGAACTGGTGAAAGTCATTAAATGCCATGAGCCTTGGGTTTTTTCCCATGTACTGTAGTAAATTCCTCTTGTTGGGATTGTAATTGCAGGTGGTCATCAGAGAACACAGAGCCCCCGGAAGAATTTTATGACATTTCAGGCAAGCCACAGGTCAGCCTGGGGAAAAAGCAGGAAGAAAAACTGGCAATACGAGGGCCCAACCCAAAAGTTATTCCTGAAGAGAAACAACGGTAAGAACTTGCAGGAATCAAATTAGTTCTGATGCAGTAGGCAGAATTCTTAGAGAGGCCCCTTTTATTTAAAAATGATTTTACTGGCCGGGCACGGTGGCTCACGCCTATAATCCCAGCACTTTGGGAGGCCGAGGCGGGCGGATCATGAGGTCAGGAGATCGAGACCATCCTGGTTAACACGGTGAAACCCCGTCTCTACTAAAAATACAAAAAAATTAGCCTGGCGTGGTGTGGGTGCCTGTAGTCCCAGCTACTCGGGAGGCTGAGGCAGGAGAATGGCGTGAACCCGGGAGGCGGAGCTTGCAGTGAGCCCGAGATCGCGCCACTGTACTCCAGCCTGGGTGACAGCAAGACTCCATCTCAAAAAAAAAAAAAAAGACTTTACCAATATGTAGTCAGAAATTGTTCAACATAAGCTTTCTGGTATTCCAGTCATAATACTCTAGCTGTTCGGACAACGCCTTCTCTCTCGCAAGCTCTCCTCTTTTTTCATTCTCTTTAAATCTCCTATCTGGCTTCCCTAAATAAATTTTTTGTAGCCAGAACTTCCATTTCATTGCAGTGGTTAGTTTTGTGTCTCCCATTGCTCTTTAGTAACTTTTAATGACCTGAGACATCGTTGGCTTCCTTTCCTTTTCCACTTCCTCCAAGTCAATTGATAGCACACCCTACACTCTGTGTTTACAAGCGTCAGAGAAGGCAGCAATAATTTTTTTTTTTTTTTTTTTTGCCTCATCTTCACTAAGGGATGCCTGAATTCTTGACAGGGCCAGATAGAATGCAAAAGTGGTTTTCTACATTGCTAAGAAATAACAGGCAAGTCTAGATACCACGAGAGCTAGCAACCTGAAGAAGTCATCTGTTCATTCTTTCATTTATTTACCGTATACGGTGTTGGGTGCACAAAAAGCATGGAGCAAGGTGCTTCAGGGTGTTTAGCAATGAGCAAGACAAAGACACTGACAAGGAGCTTTCATTCTGCAAGCCGAAAAAGACAGGAGCTCAAATTGATACCATACAAGTAGCATGAAATAGGCACCCCAGAGAGGGACACAGCTATGGAAAAATCAAATGAGGGAAAGATTACATCTCATTGGGAAAGACTTGGTGGAGGTTCAGGTCAGTTCTGGGAATGATGAGTCTGAAGTCATTGGGGCATTCAAGGGAAGCATGAGCAGGCAGTGGGAACCTGGGACCACAATCAGGAAGAAAAGGGTGGGTAGGATATAAGGGGTCCAAAGTCACTTGGAAGAGGTTGTCGTGGCTGGAGCAGTGAGGGGCTCACACCTGAGACTCCAGTACTTTAAAGAGGCTGAGGCAGGAGGATCACTTCAGCCAAGGAGTTTGAGAAAGAGGTTATCCTCAATTCCCTAATTCCTGTTCCGCCTACTGGGATGCTTCCACTCCTACAGCTTCCAGAGCCTGGTGCAGCTGGGGCTTTTAACTTACCAACAGATGTTCTGCTGCAGCTGGCTCATCCAGGATCCACCATAAGGGACTTCCGCTTAGGCAAAATTGCATTTCAGTTTTTAAAACAAAAGAGGGTCAGGCACGGTGGCTAAAGGCCTTTGGGAGGCTGAGGTGAGGGGATCTCTTGAGGCCAGGAGTTCAGCAACAGCCTGGCCAACAATGTGAGGCTCCATCTCTAAAAAAAAAATTAAAAATTAGCTGGACACAGTGGCATGTGCCTGTAGTCCCAGACACTCAGGAGGCTGAAGTGGGAGGCAGAAGCATCACTTGAGCCCAGGAGTTTGCGGCTACAGTGAGCTATGATCAGGTCATTGCACTGAAGCTTAGGCAACAGAACAAAGACCCTCACAAAAAAAAAAAAAAAAAAAAAAAAAAAAAAAAAAAAATTAAAAATTGAAAGGGATTTTTGTTGTTTTGTTAGGTTTTTTTGGTTTTTGTTGTTTTCTTATTTTTTACATTGTCTTCACAGACATCACCCTGTTAGATTTTTTTTTTTCTTTTTCCTTTTTTGAGACAGGGTCTCACTCTATCACATAGGCTGAAGTGCAGTGGCTCAGGACGGCTCACAAGAGCCTCAACCCCCTGGGCTCAAGGGATCCTCCTCCCTCAACCTCCCAGATAGCTGCGATTGTAGGCACATGCCACCACACCCGGCTGATTTTATATTTTGTAGAGATGGTGTCTCACTATACTGCCCAGGCTGGTCTCCTGGCCTCAAGCAATCCTCCTGCCTCAGCCTCCCAAAGTGCTGGGATTATAGGTGTGAGCCACTAGACCAGGTCCCAGACATTCTTTTTGAATATACCTAAGACATTTGCAATAACAGATTATGTATTATGCCATAGACCAGGAAATAATTTATTATTTCATTTTTTCTCATTTTTAAGAATGCCCAGTTTTTTGTCATTGGTGGTGGTGGTGGTGGTTTTTTTCTGTTTTTCGTTTGTTTGGTTGTTTTTTGTTGCCCAAGCTGGAATGCAGTGGCACGATCTCAGCTCACTGCAACCTCTGCCTCCTGGGTTCAAATGATTCTCCCACCTCAGCCTCCCAAGTAGCTGGGATTACAGCGTGTGCCATGACGCCCAGCTGATTTTTGTATTATAAGTAGACACAGGGTTTCACCATGTTGGCCAAGTTGGTCTCGAACTTCTGATCTCAAGTGATTCACTCACCTCAACCTTCCAAAGTGCTGGGATTACAGGTGTGAACCACCATGCTCGGCCCCCATGGTTTCCTTAATCTGAAAAGTATAAAAAAGGTTTTTTTTAATCCAGATTCCCACTAGCCAGAAGTAATATCATTTATAGTACCAAACTTTTCTATTTGATTAATGCAATTAAGGCAAATTAATATTTGTGTGTTGATTCTTTTATTTGCATTTTTTTAAAAAACAAAACTTGGATGTTGTAATTTTGTTATTTTCTTTTTCACTCGATTATGTATCATGGCCTTTTTTGACATATGCATCTACATTATCATTTTAGATTCCTGCAGGATATTCCAGTTTATTGATAGGCATTCAGGTTATATTGATAGACATTCAGGTTATTTCCACTGGTTTTTTTTTTTCTTTTTTTCTTTCTTTTCAGACAGAGTTTTGCTCTTGTTGCCCAGGCTGGAGTGCAATGTAACAATCTCGGCTCACTGCAACCTCCACCTCCTGGGTTCAAACGATTCTCCTGCCTCAGCCTTCCCAGTTGCTAGGCCTACAGGCATGCACCACCACACCTGGCTAATTTTTTGTATTTTTAGTAGAGATGGAGTTTTGCCATGTTGGCCAGGCTGGTCTCGAACTCCTGACCTCAGGTAATCCACCCGCCTTGGCCTCTCAAAGTGCTGTAAGCCACCACACCTGGCTGTTTATTTCCACTTTTAAATTGCTTTTAGATAATACTGTGATAATAAACATCTTCATATGTATACTCTTGTGCATGTATCTGGGTGTCTCTCCTTACTATCCATTTATAGAAGTAGGATTACTAGGTCGAAAGATGTGGTTAACGGTATTAATACACATTGTCCTTAAATTTAACATCACGTCATCTAAACTGTGGCCTCACCTTCCCTCCCCTCTAAGTACTTCCCACTCATCATGTGGTACCTCTTTCCCAGCTCTACACCTATCTTGACCCCCATTCCTGCAAGGCCTAAGCTGCCTACTAGCTGCCTATTAGCTAATCAACAGAATATTCACTTTTTAGAGCTTTTAAAATTATTACTCATTTTCATGAAGATTAAAATGACTTCCAGAGCCAAGGAATGAAGCTATAATGAAGACAACAAAGACAGGAGAACGATGATGGGGGTTGATCCTTGGCTGATAGACTTCAAAGTCAACCATTAGCACCCAGGATGAGTCATTTTGAATTAGAATCAGATACTCTGCCCACCTATAATGAGAGATCTTCTTGATCTTTAATGAGTACCATCTCTTCATTGAAACAGTCACCAGAATTTGCATTTCCAAGATCTCTTGCCACTTTCCCCAAAATACCTTCTATGGCCATTACACAGAAAAAAACTTATCTGTGCCTGCAAAGAAAACTCAGCTTTGGACCAAATTATCCCCACTGTGTACAACAAAATCACATTCCTCTGGCCTCTGTATTTCTCTCCGTAGTCCATTTCAACGCTTATAGCAAATCAACATTGTGACCCAATAATTATTAAGTCCATTAATCTTTACTGCATTATTAATCGCAAATCTCACCAACTAACCTTGCAAAGTGCATATGTGGGTAAGCCATGGAAGCTAGAAAGAGTTTCCTGGGAAAATCTGGGATCTTATTTCATGTCCTCACATTTCTCTGAAGGAAAAAAACTTGTAAACATTGAGTCAAAACCTTACAAATTTTGGAGGGAGGAGGAGTGCAAAAAATTCTTACAAATTTCACAAGGTTACAAAGCAAAAGGGGAATGTGGTCTTGAAAAATTCTTAAAACTTAACCAGAATGAATGACGACTGATCTTTCTTTCCAATAGTTTGATGTTTGGATTAGTGCATTTCCGTTGTGAAATCCGATTTTCTATTATCCAGTTACACCTAGTAGGCATGAAATAAATGTTTGTTGAAATGAATTAAATGTAATATGCTCAGGTCAATGTCTTTCACATTCTTTATAAGGTCTTATATTTGGAAAATAATATTAACAACCATTTCCATGAATAACATTTACTTCATCCATAGAAAATGTAAAGATACTACCAAAGGGAGCCATCCTAAGATGCCTGAAATGAGTTATTAAATTCTAACTTAACCACAACCAATATTACTAATTTGTTTTAAATAACTTGTCCAACTCCTAGAAGGAAACAAGGATTTGGGGAGCAGAAGTAGATCAAGAAAATTAGTATTAAATGGCAGGAGTAAAGGGATAACATTTGAAATTCTGGCTTCCTGGAGTGATCAGTCAAAAGCTCTCCTGCTGGAAAATAATATCTTGAATTGAAAAGCATTCGGATCATGGTCGATTTTTAACCCAATTAAATTTCCTTCTCCTAGGTAGCCTATTTACTAAAGCAGTATGATAGCTGTTAATATTATCATTTAATAAACATATTGCTAGTAAAAATGAACTCTATTCCAACTATTACCACAGCATAAATAAAGATTTTTTCTCAAAATGTTAGCTTGGTTTGGGATTGCTGCTTTTTCTTTCCAATTGATTTGCCTCTGCCCAGCTGATCTGCCTCTGAGGAGCTAAAAAATACCAATAAATAGTAACACAGACTATTAAAGTATGCTTTTCATAATATGTCAATATCTTTCTATTTCTCAGGATAACCATATGCAGGAAGGATAGGGAAACAATAAACTATTATTTTAACTGCCTAACAGCGTTTTTTCAACTAGAAACCACATTCAAACAACCTTATTTTTCACTATGCAGCACGTAGTCCTTCTCTTATTTCCTTTTTCTTAAAAAAATTGAATGTATTTTGCTAATCTTCTCTGTATCTTTCCAATTTTACCCTGTGTGCTGCCGAAGAGAGCACTTTTCTGGGGGAGGGGAGGGGAGGGGTGTTGTTTTTCTATTTTTGTTTTTAAGACAGAGTCTTGCACTGTCACCCAGGCTGGAGTGCAGCGGCATGATCTCAGCTCATTGCAACCTCCGACTCCCAGGAGTCAAGCAATTCTCATGCCTCAGCCTCCCTAGTAGCTGGGATTACAGGTGTGTGCCACCACGCTTGGATAATTTTTGTATTTTTAGCAGAGATGGTTTTGCCCTGTTGGCCAGGCTGCTATCCACTCCTGGCCTCAACTGACCCACCCACCTCAGCCTCCAAAAGTGCTGGGACTACAGGCATGAGCCACCATGCCTGGCCCAGAACTTCCTAAGAAACACTTACACGTCACTGCTTGCTGTCTCACACTTCCTTGGGTGAATTCCCTGGAGAGTGAAAAGATTCAAACAGACACAAAATGGCAATACATGCTCTGTCCACTTCACAGGAATTTACCTGAATAGTTTCAGACACAGACTTTATCATAATTAAGAATTTTTGTTTTTTGGGGTTTTTTTTTTTAGATGGAGTCTTGCTCTGTCGCCCAGGCTGAAATGCAGTAGCGTGATTTCGGCTCACTGCAAGCTCCACCTCCCGGGTTCACACCATTCTCCTGCCTCAGCCTCCTGACTAGCTGGGATTATAGGCATGTGCCTGGCTAATTTTTGTATTTTTAGTAGAGACGGGATTTCATCATGTTGGTCAGGCTGGTCTCAAACTCCTGACCTTTTGATCCGCATGCCTCAGCCTCCCAAAGTGTTGGGATTACAGGCATGAGCCACTGCGCCCGGCCAGAGAAATATTTTTTAATAAACAACTTCAGAGGCCAGGCACAGTAGCTTATACCTTTAATCCCAGTACTTTGGGAGGCCAATGGGGGGAGGAACACTTGAGGCCAGTTCAACCAGCCTGGGCAACACAGCAGGACCCCATCTCAACAAAAAAATTAAGCACTTTGGGAGGCCAAGGTGGGAGGATGGCTTAAGGTAAAGAGTTCGAGACCAGCCTCAGCTACTTGGCAAGAACCTGTCTCAAGAAAACAAAGAAAAAATTTAAAAAAACACAAAAACTAATTAAATTATGATTATAGAAATCTTCCGAAAGATAAGAAAATGTTCGTCAAATACCAAGTAAAGATTTTTAAAAAGAGTACGTGCCACAGTGACCAACTCATCCTGGTTAATCTAGAACTGCTACAGTTTTAAAACTAAAACTGTTTTAAAGTCCACAGTTCATGCCAGGCACAGTGGCTCATGCCTGTAATCCCAGCACTTTGGGAGGCCATGGCAGGTAGATGGCTTGAGGCCAGGAGTTTGAGACCAGCCTGACCAACGTGGTGAAACTCCATCTCTACTAAAAATACAAAAATTAGCTGGATGTGCAGGTGCATACCTGTAATCCCAGCTACTCGGGAGGCTGAGGCATGACAATTGCTTGAACCCAGGGGGCAGAGGTTGCAATGAGCCAAGATCGTGCCACCGTACTCCAGCCTGGGTGATAAGAGTGAGACATTGTCTCAAAAAATAAAATAAAGCCCACAGTCCTGGGAACACCCCACAGACCAAACTGAGGCAACTGATTACCCTAGCATAAGCAATCTTTGAATGAAAATATCAAAATCATCAAGACCACTCCCTTTAACTGAATTAAACAGCCTTTATTGAATGCCTTCTGTGTATAAAGTACAGGCAGCCCTTCATACCCACAGGTTCCATATCCATGGATACAACCAACCATGGATCTAAAATATTTGGGGGTAAAACTGCAGTAAAAGTAATACAACAATATAAATAATACAAATTTAAAACCCATGTAGTATAACTATTTACATAGCATTTACATGGCAGTAGATATTAAGAAATTTAGCGATGATTTAGAGTACACAGGAGGATGAAGTTTTATACGCATTGACTATGCCATTATATCAGGGACTTGAGCATCTGTGGATTTTGGTATTCCTAGGGTCCTAGAACCAATCCCCAACAGATACCAAGGATGACTGCACTGTGCTGAGCAGGAATCAGTCAGGGTCCAGGCAGGAGACGGACAGTACAGCCAAACTGGGCGATCTGACGACAGTGTCACAAAGAGGCTATTTACAGAGGTGTGGGCATAGTTAGAGAAAACAATGAACAGAGAAGCATCCTGGGCTAGCAAGAGTGGGGGCTGCCAGCACCTGAAAAGGCAGAGGAGGCTGTCCAACCTGAACTCACCACGACCCAGCAGGAGGCGGCAAGCCCTCCCCTCCTCCACCCTACAGACTAGCACTGTGCCTCCCACTGGGTAAATCTGACTACAAGGCAGAGGAAGGGGGCTTGTTGATGGAGTCCTCGCCTGTCAGCACCCCAAGCCACAGAGCAGGGCAGAGTGAGTCTGAAGGCACACAAACAACACATAAGCCTGGCCCCTGCTCTTGGCAACTTAAAAATCTAAGGGAAACATCAAGTCGTTATTTTAGGCACATACTGAGACAACTCACTAGTGCCAAAAACTGAGTGTTTAGGTCTAACCGGTCCCTGCAGAATTAAATCAAAATCAAGTTATTCATTCCTTATGGCTCCTGATCTGCTTTCGGTTAGAATGAATGAGCCCTGGGGATTAAAAGAGAGATTTATGTATCCGTGAAATTATTTTACTCATCCCACATACCTGTGCTAGTTTGAGTCCTGCATCTGTCCCCTCACTTTTTGTGCGCGTTTGAGAGAGTCTTGCTCTGACACCCAGGCTCTGGAGTGCAGGGGCATGATCTTGGCTCACTATAACCTTGACCTCCTGGGTTCAAATGATTCTCCTGCCTCAGCTTCCGAAGTAGCTGGGACCACAGGCATGTGCCATCACACCCAGCTAATTTTTGTATTTTTTTTTTTTAAGTAGAGACAGGGTTTCATTATATGTTGGCCCGGCTGGTCTCAAACTCCTGACTTCATATAATCCACCCACCTTGGCCTCCCAACGTGATGGGATTATAGACGTGAGCCACCATGCCGAGCCTGTCCCCTCTTTATAATTCCAAAGGTGAGGGTGTCTTTCGTGTAACATGTCAGGGCTTACCTTGATGGGTTTATGCTGCAGTACTGTGCCAAATGTCTATACCCTGAAGCAACCTGCTCGCGTCCGGAATCGGTGGGTTCTTGGTCTCACTGACTTCAAATGTGATGCCGCAGACCCTCGCTCTGAGTGTCACAGTTCTTAAAGGCAGCGTGTCCGGAGTTTGTTCCTTCTGCTGCTCGGATGTGTTTGGAGTTTCTTCCTTCTGATGGGTTCGTGGTCTTGCTGGCTTCAAAAGTGAAGCTGCAGACCTTCGCAGTGAGTGTTACAGCTCTTAATGCAGCGCGTCTGGAATTCTTCGTTCCTCTCGTTGGGTTCGTGGTCTCACTGGCTTCAGGAGTGAAGCTGCAAACCTTCGGGTGAGTGCTACAACTCACAAAAGCAGTGTGGACTCAAAGAATTAGCAGCAACAATATTTATTGCAAAGAGCAAAAAAATAAAGCTTCCAAACCGTGGAAAAAGACCACAGCAGATTACCGCTGCTGGCTCGGGCAGCCTGCTTTTATTCTCTTACCTGGCCCCACCCACATCCTGCTGATTGGTCCATTTTACAGAGAGCCAATTGGTCTGTTTTACAGAGAGCTGATTGGTCCGTTTTGACAGGGTACTGATTGGTGCCTTTACAATCCCTGAGCTGGACACAAAAGTTCTCCACATCCCCGCTAGATTAGCTAGACACAGAGTGTCGATTGCTGCATTCACAAACCCTGAGCTAGACACAGGGTTTGTGTCTAGCTGATTGGTGTGTTTACAAACCTTGAGCTAGATACAGAGTGCTGATTGGTGTATTTACAATCCCTTAGCTAGACATAAAGGTTCTCCAAGTCCCCACCAGAATCAGGAGCCCAGCTGGCTTTACACAGTGGATCCCGCACCGAGGGTGCAGGTGGAGCTGCCTGCCAGTCCTGCGCCTGTGCGCCCACACTCCTCAGCCCTTGGGTGGCCGATGGGACTGGGCGCCGTGGAGCAGGGGGCGGCGCTCGTGGGGGAGGCTCCGGCGGCGTAGGAGCCCACAGCGAGGTGGGGAGGCTCAGGCATGGCGGGCTGCAGGTCCCGAGCCCTGCCCCGCTGGGAGGCCTGGGGAGGCAGCTAAGGCCCGGCGAGAAGTCGAGCACAGCAGCTGCTGGCCCAGGTGCTAGGCCTCTCACTGCCCGGGGCTTGCTGGTGGACCTGCACCTCCGGGGCTTGCGGGCGGACCTGCCCGCCGAGCCCACGCCCACCCGGAACTCGCACTGGCCTGCAAGCACCGCGCACAGCCCCGGTTCCGCCCGCGCCTCTCCCTCCACACCTTCCCGCAAGCTGAGGGAAGCAGCTCCAGCCTTGGCCAGCCCAGAAAGGGGCTCCCACAGTGCAGCGGCGGGCTGAGGGGCTCAAGCGTGGCCAGAGTGGGCGCCAAGGCCGAGGAGGCGCCGAGAGCGAGCGAGGGCTGTGAACAAACTCCGGACACGCTGTCACCTCTCACTCTTATCAAAGGTGAGCATCTCTGTGCTTTTCCAAAATGTGTCCATTTTTGTCAAAGCCAAAAACAAAAGAGCAAATTACCAAGCAGCGTTTCACTGCATTTATCTGTTGTCTACAACTCCTGACTTGCTAAGGGCGACTGAAATTTACAGGAGGAACATCACAGGAAATCATCACGAATGTCAGCTCCAAAATGGTCCCCATGTCTTATTCTTTCCATCACCATTAATCCAAGATTTAGAGGTTAAAATTCTAATAAATGGGCCCGGCACGGTGGCTCATGTCTGTAATCCCAGCACTTTGGCGTACACAGGCAGATAACTTGAATTCAGGAGTTCAAGACCAGCCTGGGCAACATTTGTCTCTACAAGAAATACAAAAAAATTAGGCCGGCGTGGCGGCTCTCGCGCATAATCCCAGCACTTTGGGAGGCCGAGGTGGGCGGATCACAAGGTCAGGAGTTCCAGACCAGCCTGACCAACATGGTGAAACCCTGTCTGTACTAAAAATACAAAAATTAGCCAGGCGTGGTACGCACCTGTAATCCCAGCTACTCAGGAGGCTGAGGCAGGAGAATTGCTTGAACCTGGGAGGCAGACGTTGCAGTAAGCCAAGATCGCACCATTGCACTCCAGCCTAGGGGACAGGGCGAGACTCTGTCTCAAAAAAAAAAAAAAAAAAAATTAGCTGGATATGCTGGCACACACCTGTGGTCCCACCTATTTGGGAGGCTGAGGCGAGAGGATTGCTTGAGCCCACAGTGGTTGCAGTGAGCTGAGATGGCATCACTGCCTTCTAGTCCAGCCTGGGTGAGAGAGTGAGACCTGTCTCAAAAAAAAAAAAAAGTCGAATAAATGTATCATAAAATTAGATTTCATTCTGTTAGCATTAAACTGCAGAAATTCCTCACACAATGATATCATCATGGCAGCTAATGTCTCATGAAAAGACAAGTCTCCATGTGAAGGGTGCTTATGATTTTTGGAAAACAAGTTAGTCTGAGACTCCATTCTTCTCTTTGTAAAATGTGGGAAATAATGGGTGACTCATTGATTGTTGTAAGGATTAAATAATATAATTTCCAAAAATACCTAACACTAAGTAGGCTCTAAAATTAGTCTCCCCACCCTCAAACTCTCTACCTTACCCTAAGTGCATATATACATTTAAATACATAGTTTTAGTCACTTTGTTTAACAATGTTACATTTTAGTAATTTAAAAAATATATTTTCCCCAAAACCAGAAACTCCAAATGTATCTCCACTTCCCTGACACAAAGTAGCTATCTGCCAACACAAGGAATGGGGTGAAAGGAATAGGACATTCCATTGAACCAGGAGTTTCCAGAGAAGTGTGGGTTTCTTCCTTTCAACCTCTTTGATGTAATCTAAATCAATAAGTAATGACAGTTTGTCCAAAAGTGTCATACATTCAGGTGAGGAAGAAGGGTAGGAAGCTCATGGATGTATGCAGAGGAACTTAAGAACTCCTCTCAAACACTGTAAAACAGGTTTTCTGTCCATACATAGGGTGGATTTGCAACACAGCCTTCCACAGGCTCAAGCCCATCTGTTGTAAGGAGCATGAGTTAGGACAGAACAAGGAGGAAAACTACCAAGTCATCTCTCTTCACACAAGTCCAGCCAAGTATTGATTGTTTATTCAAAGCTTTCTTTTCTCCCTCCCTCTCTCTGTTCAGTCACTATCCCCTGCCTCCCACCCACCCCCTCCCTCCACCAAATGAAATTAAATTTCTCAACTACCTCTATTTGATGCTGTGTTTAGCATAAGCCCTGAGTAGATATGGATTCTGTTTCTTGAATTTTCCCTGACAAACCGCTTCCAGCTGCCCTTTGGGGTGGGATGCCACCGTGATAAAATACAGTGTCATGTTTGCTGAGGATTTCAGCTGCCACCTGGGGGCTCATGCACTCAATGAGTGCTCTTTAGCAAGGCTGGTGGTGACATGGTGACAAACGGTATGTTGACTTTTTTCTTTCTGTGGTTTAGGACTGGTTGGTTTCAGTCTTGCTGGCTCTTTCTCCTGGGTTACCAACATTTTCCACATTTAGAGCCTGTGACTGCCTCTCCTCCAGGATTATTGCAGCAAGCTCCTTGCTGTCGACAGAAGCCATTTGTTGGTTAGAGGGTTTACAACTGAGACGACCTACAAGTGCCCATTTGATAGTTAACCCATGCTTCAGAATTTGCTTATTTTTTTTCCTTTTTAAGGACTCTTTCTTCAACTAAACAGTTTCTCTTCAGAGTGTTATCACTCCGCTCCCATGAAATGACTGGGACTGTTACTTCTTTTATCTCTGGTCACACCCAGCAAAATTAAGCTTGCTTGTGGATGATTAGCCGTAGGCTGATCCACATCTGAGCCAATTGACTGGCTGCTTAGGAGGACTTTGCCTCGGGCTCACCCCTGAAGCCACCACCCCTGAGGCCACTGCCTGTGCCAGGGCATTCCCAAGCCTCTATCCCCAGTGTGGGCTTCCCTGCTGCATGTGGCTCTTCAGCCTCAGGTTCCTCCTCTTCACTCCCCCATCCTTGCATGGGCTTCCTCTTCCGTCCCGCTTGCTTCTAGAACATTTCCAATTATTGCTTCCAGGTCCTGAACACTAGTGGCTGAACTGAAAAATGGAAAAGATGATGAAAGCCAGGCACTGAGAAATCAGTTAATTAAACTCTTCAGAGGTCCCCAGAAAGGACAGATTCCCCTGCACACCTGATGAGGAATCTTGGACTCTTGCTTATTAAAGGGAAAGGAAGTCCATTTTACTGGACACTTGTCGAGGAATTCCAGCAAGCCCCTGGACAGAGGGCTTCAGTGACCAGGGTAGCTTTCTGCTTTTGGTTGTAAAGAGATCAGAAAGTGTCATCCTTCAAAGCGATGTCATGGGCTCAGAGCCCTTTCTGTGCACTTTGCCATATTGTGCCCACTCCGGTTCTCAAGGTCAGTTGGCCATCTGAAGTGGAACAATGACTTCTCTACAATCCAGCTTTAACTATTTGCACAGTTCCATGCCATTCCACTAATTTAGTACATACCAGGGTGTACCCAGGCTTCAGGCTGGTCTGGGTTCTACTTCCCAAGCCCAGTCCCAGCACATGCCTTCCCAAAGATCTTTCCTCCCAGGTCCCAGTCTCCCTCTTAGGATCAAACCAATTCAACTTAACCCTTATTTAATGTCTTCTCTCTGCCTACTCAGCCCAGTGTGGTAGTCAGGCACAGAAACTCATCAATTACAGCACAGAGTCAGCAGGTCAACAACAGAGTGGGATAAAATTCCCTCTTCTCCAAACACACAAACCCAGCTCTGTAGCATCTTTTTTCCACCCCTGAAATTCCCCCAAACAGACTATCCCTTGTGCTGGCATCCGGCAAGGTCCTAAAGAGGCCCTACAGCCTGTTTTTGCTCAGGCTGTTTTCAAGCCTTTTTCCGATCTATTTTCTCTGAAACTTTGCGTGCATATACACACACCAGAATCAACAAGTCGACTGAGCATGCAAAAGCCACATCCACATTTCTAGACCTTGATACCTTCTCAGACCTCTGGCAAATCTAAAGCCCAGACCAACTGGGATTACTCCCAGGTTATACATTGCTTTAGAGAAGAGAATATTTGTCACACCTAGGCATGGATCCGAGAAGTCCTCACATGCTCACATGCAGAAGGCCCATTCCTTAAGTAATTAGAAATCCATCATCTAAAAAAAACAATGACCAAATCACATTTTGATTAGGATTAAAAGGTGGAGGCTGGGCATGGTGGCTCATGTCTGTAATCCCAGCACTTTGGGAGGCCAAGGCGGGTGGATCACTTGAGGTCAGGAGTTTGAGACCTGCCTGGGCAACAGGGTGAAATCCTGTCTCTACAAAAAATACAAAAATTAGCTGTGCATGGTGGTGCATGTATGTGGTCCCAGCTACTCAGGAGGCTGAGGTGGGAGAATCACTTGGGCCTGGGAAGTGGAGGTTGCAGTGAGCCACGATCACGCTACTACACTCCAGCCTGGGCCATAAAGTGAGACTGTGTCTCAAAAAAAAAGGTAGAGACAATAGTACAGGTACCTTGAAACATCCAAAAACCCAAAAGCTTTTCTATTCTGAAAGGATCAGACAATTTTCTTATAAGAAATATATTTTTTCTGATGAGGCTTTGCTGGAGATATTACCAGAACAAGTGTCTCCAACCACTGGTAGTCTGGAAAATGATAAAGGTGGGTTCTGGGTGGCACAGTGAAACCAGCCTGAGATTACAAACCTTTGCTGGGGGTAAACTACAGAAGCAACCATGGAGACTTAATTCTGTGTTTTTCTGAGATTCTATAATTAGGTAATGTCATTTACATGCTTCCAAGTGAGGGAAGGAAATTCTTTGGAGGCAAAGCGTAACGGTTCCAGTACTGGCACCAAATGTCTTCCTGCTCAGCAAGTCCATTTTAAAGTCTTGTTCATGAGCTAAGCTGAGTTCTCCTACAGAAGCAGAGTGAAGAGTCAAGGAAATGTGAAGACTGGCCAGGCACGGTGGCTCATGCCTGTGATCCCAGCACTTTGGGAGGCTGAGGCGAGCAGATCACAAGGTCAGGAGTTCAAGACCAGCCTGACCAACATGGTGAAACCCCGTCTCTACTAAAAATACAAAATTAGCCTGGCGTGCTGGTGCATGCCTATAATCCCAGCTACTCAGGAGGCTGAGGCAGAAGAATCGCTTGAACCCAGGAGGCGGAGGTTGCAGTGAGCCGAGATTGCGCCATTGTACTCCAGCCTGGGCAACAAGAGCGAAATTCCATCTCAAAAAAAAAAAAAAAAAAAAAAAAAAGAACATACCTCTTTCAGCATCCCCTTGCAGGGTCCTCCCTATCTCTGTGATTCCAATAGTATTCTCTGAAACAACACAGAAGAGTTGGCCTCCCTCCCTCGCCTGACATAGCTCTTTACACAGTTGCAATTCCATGCCTCACTCACCACCCCGTTCTGGTGACTTTCCTCTGCACACATTCCGCCTTGCTCTCCCTCTTAGTTTTTAACACCTATTTAGCAAATATCCTGGAAAAATATTTCCAAAAAAAGTTAAAAGTGGTTGTTTGGAATGATGAGATTACCGGTCCACTGTTGTTTGCTGCTTCTTTGCATGTTTTCAACGTCTGGGCCTGGAACAAGTGCAGGTATTCCTTTGCTCATTCCGTAACGATGCTCAGCATTGAGTGTGCTATCCTGACTAGTGCGAATACTCCATTGCTTGACTTCTCCTGTGTCCGGAACGTTACACTTCTGGTAATACATTGTACGATTGTATTTGTCTTTTTCAAGACCACTTAACACCTTCAGCTTATATAAATCTCGTAGCTAACTGAAGCCTCCAGGTTTTTTCACATGAAGTGTTCACATAAATCATGGATCTCCCAACCTATTTTCATCTTTATGAGTAGTTAAGACATAAATCCTTCTTACAGTATTAAAGGGTGCTAGTGTATTAAACTACCTAAATAGCCAGCATGCCTTTTAAAGGGGCTATCATGATCTAATTCAAATGGTAAGAATTCCAGGGTCTATGTCAGGTGCCCCTGGCTCCCTCTGTGTCTCATCCCCTTCCATTATGGATCCAAAAAACATGTCTTGAAATGTTGCCTCCTGGCCGGGCATGGTGGCTCATGCCTGTAATCCCAGCATTTTGGGAGGCTGAGGTAGGCAGATCACTTGAGGTCAGGAGTTCGAGACCAGCGCCTGGCCAACATAGTGAAACCCCATCTCTATTAAAAATACAATAATTAGCCAGATGCGGTGGCATGCACCTGTAATCCCAGCTACTCAGGAGACTGAGGCAGGAGAATCACTTGAACCCCAGAGGCAGAGGTTGCAGTGAGCCGAGATGCAGGTTGCAGTGAGCCAACATCGCACCACTGCACTCCAGCCTGAGTGACAGAGAAAGACTCTGTCTCAAAAAAAAAAAAGAAATCATTGCCTCCTGCAAAAATTAATATGCAAGAAAATTCAAGGGACTAGTAATCTGTGGAAGGAGGGGGAAGATGGTAATGTTTTATTTCTTTTCGGTGTCAATTACATGAGGTCATTTTATTTTATAATATATTCTCTTGTATGTGTGAAATACAAATTTTAAATATGTGATAATTTAAAAGTAATATGTAGAGTTGATTTAAAATAGGAAAAAATGACTGGGCATGGTGGTCCATCCCTGTAATCCCAGCACTCTGGGAGGCTGAGACAGGAGGATCACTTGAGCCAAGGAGTTTGGGACTGGCCTGGGCAACATAGCAAGATCCTGTCTCTACAAAAAGTACAAAAATTAGCTAAGCATGATGGTGCATGCTTGTAGTTCCAGCTACTCAGGAGGCTGAGGCGGGAGGATTGCTTGAGCCCCAGAGATTGCAAATGTAGTGAGCTCTGATTGTGCCACCGCACCCCAGCCTGGGCAACAGAGCCAGACCCTGTCTCTAAATTAATTAATTAATTTAATTTAATGGGAAGAAATGTCTGGGCACTGCGGCTTATGCCTGTAATCCCAGCACATTGGGAGGCAGAGGCTGGAGGATCACTTGAGGCAAGAAATTCAAGACCAGCCTGAGCAACATAGCAAGACCCCATCTCTACAAAAACATTAAAAAATAAAAAATTCACTGGGCATAGTGGTGAATGCCTGCAGTCATAGCTACTCAGGAGGCTGAGGTGGGAGGCTTGCTGGAGCCTGGGAGGTTGAGGCAGCAAATGAGCTCTGGTTGCACCACTGCACTGCAGCCTGGGCAACAGAGAGAGATCCTGTTTTTTAAAAAAAAAGAGGGGGGGATTGGGGGGGAATTCTCAGTATCCCTTCAATTTTGAGGGGAAAAAAGGTAATAAGAAAAAACAAGGAGAAAGCAATAGATAAGCAAATGAAAGGGAGGAAAACAGATTCAAGTTTGAAAAGGAAAATGAAAGAAAAGATAGCGGCCTGGAAGACAGGCAGAGATAGGAGGATTAGATGGAGTATTTGGCTGAACAGGGACAACAGAGGTGGTGAGGAGTCCCTGCGGCGCTGCAGAGTGGGAGAGAGCGGAACAGTGAAAGCTACTTCGGATCCTCCAAGAAACGTCAGCAAATCCATCCTATTCCTCAGCATTCTGCTTCAGCCACCTAAGGCAGTCAGCCTCCCACTGCCGTTCAGCCTGTGTGGCCCAGAGCCAGGAAGCACGTTCCCTCGCAGCTCTGGGTACAGATTCCCTATACACATGAGTGTCTCCCTCCCGGTGACTCAGCTGCTGTGCTTTCCTCTCCTTCCCCAGGGCCTGAGCAGTAGCCTGCCTGATGATGATCAAGCAGAGCCCTGCAAGTTTCAAGAGGAATGTCAGTGACTCTTCACTGAAACCCCCCAGGTAGGCATGCAGTGACAATCCAGGGCTTTCCTGGACACATTGCAATCCTAACCTCAGGGTAAAAGCCATGTCCCTGTTCCGCCACAGCATGGCAAAATCAATTCCAGTTGGATTAAAAAGTTACATGTTTTTAAAAAAATGAAACCGTAAAAATGTATGTGACTCAGATAAAGTAAAAAAAAAAAAAAGAAAAAAGTGAGTGGTTATGTGTTTTTAAAAAGACAGAGATCAAATGGATAAATATTACACAAGACTAGTCTAAATTGTTTGGTGTACACCATGAAATACTTTTTTCAACCTCTGGCTCCAAATCTCCAAACTTTTGTCCCCTTCCTTACTCCTTGTGCTGAACAGACAGCCTTTTAGTCACTCAGTTTTAAGAGAAACTTCATTCTGGTCATTAAGACTCCATCTCAGGTATGAAAATTTCAGTAAGTGAAGGCAAAGATTAATTTTATATTCGTTTAAAGGCTTTTCCCGTCCACCTAAGGCCAGGCTTGCAGTCCCTGTTCTGGAAGGTGGGCTGTTTGCTCTTTCTGCATTTTACTCCTCTTCTCCTCTCTCTCTGCAGTTTCTTTTTCTTTTTCTTTTCTTTTCTTCTTCTTTTTTTTTTTTTTTCTTGAGACAGAGTCTCACTCTGTTACCCAGGTTGGAGTGCAATGGCACAATCTCGTGTCACTGCAACCTCTGCTTCCTGGGTTCAAGCTATTCTCCTGCCTCAGCCACCCAAGTAGCTAGGATTACAGGTGATGGCTAATTTTTGTATTTTTTAGTAGAGATGGGGTTTCACCATGTTGGCCAGGCTGGTCTCGAATTCCTGGCCTCAGGTGATCCATCCGTCTCAGCCTCCCAAAGTGCTGGGATTACAGGCATGAGCCACCACGCCCAGCCCTCTCTCTGCTGTTTCCCCTCTGGCGTTGTCGGGAAGGGAGGGGAAAGGACTAGGGGAAAGGTGCCTTTATGTAAGTCATGCAGCTGTCCTGACAGTCAAACTCTCTCTCTGGGAGGGTCCCCTTGTGTGGGCTCAAGAGACCTTTGAGGGTCTCTCCAGGGCACTGTTGTCTGATGCATACTGGGTCATCTCAGAGTCCCACTCCTAGGCTCCTGCCAGCTCTCCCCATCACAGCCTGGGGCACATGATGCAGGGGGCTCCCCACCAGACAGCCAGCCACCTTGGGCGGGTCACCAGCCAGATGGCCTGAGTCACTGTCTGCTGCATTCACTTGGCCCACAGCACATCCTTCCACTCCACATTCCAGATGGGGAGAGTGTAGCTGCTCTCTCTGTCTGCTTTCTCTTCATCCCGCTGGGACGGGCTGCTGCAGCAAGACTTTTGCATTCAGAATTCTCTAGATGAAAAGGAGAGACCAGTTTCTATGTTCAGTTAGACTCCTAATTCAGGAAGGGGAGGGCACAGGGATGGGAAGTTGGGGGATGGGGATGGAGGGAAGATGGGGATGGGGAAGAGGATGGGTCCACCTCTCTCAGAAACTTTCTCATTATTCTGTGCTAGTGTCAGCACCAGATGGGCCTTCAGACCCCAGCATCTCCGTGAGCAGTGAGCAAAGCGGGGCACAGCAGCCTCCCGCTTTACAGGTAGGTCTTGGTTTCTCCCAGTGGCAAGCTTGGAGTCCATCTGGCAAGGAAGAGCCCATAGGGGAATCGCCCCACACCACACTCTCCCTTTACATCTGTCCTGTGCTTGGGTCCCTTTGGTGGTCTGGTGAAGCTGTGGACTCCTTAGAATGATGTTTTTGGCCGGGCACAGTGGCTCATGCCTGTAATCCCAGCACTTTGGGAGGCCGAGGCAGGCGGATCAGCTGAGGTCGGGAGTTCAAGACCAGCCTGACCAACATGGAGAAACCCCGTCTCTACTAAAAATACAAAATTTGCTGGGCGTGGTGGCGCATGCCTGTAATCCCAGCTACTTAGGAGGCTGAGGCAGGAGAATCGCTTGAACCCGGGAGATGGAGGTTGCGGTGAGCTGAGATTCATTACATCGTTGCACTCTAGCCTGGGTAACAACAGCGAAACTCTGTCTCAAAAAAAAGAAAAAAAAAAGGACGTTTTTAAGTTTATAAAATAAAATATACAGGACTACAAAGGTTATCAATTACATTGAAATGCAGTTATCACAATCATTTGAAAATGTGTACTCTAGTAATAATGCTTCTTTTTAAAAAAAATCACTTTATTAGGATATAATTGACATACAAAAAGCTGTACCTATTCAGGCCAGGCTCAGTGGCTCATGGCTGTAATCCTAGCCCTTTGGGAGGCCTAGGTGGGTGGATCGCTTGAGGAAAGGAGTTCGAGACCAGCCTGGCCAACATGGTGAAACCCCATCTCTACTAAAAATACAAAAAAATTAGCCAAGCTTGGTGGTGCACACCTGTAATCCCAACTACTCAGGAGGCTGAGGTGGGAGAATCACTTGAACCCAGGAGGTGGAGGTTGCGGCGAGCTGAGATCGCTCCACTGCACTCTAGCACGGGCAACAAGAGCGAAACTCCATCTCAAAAAAAAAAATAGTTGTACATATTTAATGTATACGTGCACCCCCATGAAACTATCACCACAATTTATGTTATAAACATATCCATCATCTCCAAAAGGTTCCCCCGCCCTCTGTATTTATGTGCATGTGTGCACGTGATGGGGGGGGGTGGGATGAGAGCACCTAACAGTTAAGATCTACCCTCTTGGTAAATGCTCAAGTATGCAAGTTCTGTTAACTATAGACAGCATGCTCTCCAGTAGCTCTTTAGAACTTGTATAAGGGAAATGTTGTACCCTTTGACCAAGCCCTCCTGTTTCCCACTCCCCCAGCCCCTGTCAACCATCATTCTGCTCTTTGCTTCTATGTGTTTGACTATTTTATATTTCTCAAGTGAAATGATGTAGTGCTTGTCCTTCTGTGTCTGGCTTCTTTCACTTAGATGATGCTTTATTAAAACATAGTATAACAAGGTCTAACAGTGATTTCTAACTAGTGATGAGTATAAAGGTATTTTGCTATATCTGCAATAGCTGTATGTTATATGAAAACACGTGTGCTTTCTACTAGAGACTAAGTTACAGTTGTTGCTGGTACTACTATAGTTTGTTGCGTACATTCATAATTGGGGGAAATGCAACATTTCAGCTAGAGGATAGTGAAAATAAGGATGGAATATTTTTCCCATTGATGTTTGCAACCTGCCAAGGACAGACAAAGAACCCTTGCACTAGACTGACTACTGCCTGCTCCAGGGAATCCTCCCACAGCCTTCCTGGCCTCTGCTTATATAGGTCAGGAGGGTGCAGGGGACATGGCTGCAGGGCTGGTTTGGTGGCCTCTTGGTGAGGTTTGCAGAATCACCTGGCAACTTCCCTAGGAGTGGAGAGACATGAAAGCCAATGCTACTCAGCTTTTTTTTTTTTCTGCTACGCACTTTATTAGCAACTTAGCTTTTTTTTTCCCTCATAACCCATAGACTTAGCAGGAGGAGCATAGACATTAAGAGTAAGTGCACATGAAACATTGAAAAGGAGTAAACATGAATCCTCTCTTTGCAAAAGACAGTCTCAGAAATTTCTCATCTGCTAATTCACTTAATTCAACAAATTACATCTATCATGTTTCAAGTGCTTTGTTTATCGATATAGTGGTAAACAGAATACACTGATGGGACAAGCAACTCTGAGATGACAGAACGAGTTCCCTAAATAGTCTGTTACTGTGACTCCTGTTTATGCTTGATATTCACAAAATATTCTGGAATTGATACCCGAGAAACTGCTAACAGTGATTACCTCTGGGGAGTAGAGATGGAAATTGAGAGGAAAAGAAGGGAATGTCTTTTCATGTTAAACTCCTTTGTACTGTCTTTAAAAATAATAATAAACATCTTTTTATATGATGAAAAACAAGTTGTAAAGACAACTTTAAAAGTTTTCCTAAAGGAAACCATATGTGACTTTAACTGATTTGAGACAGTAGAAGCTTTCTAAGTATAAAAGTAATAGAAGGAACGATGGGGGAAATTGATAGATTTCACTACACACACAAAAAAAGATGCAAAACACGTCACAGACCAAAAATAACAAACTTAAGAAATATTTGCAACAAAAATTAAAAGGGGCCAGGCGCAGTGGCTCACGCCTGTAATCCCAGCACTTTGGGAGGCTGAGGCGGGTGAATCACCTGAGGTCAGGAGTTTGAGACCAGCCTGGCCAACATGGTGAAACCCCGTGTCTACTAAAAATACAAAATCAGCATGGTGGCACATGCCTGTAATCCCAGCTACTCAGGAGGCTGAGGCAGGAGAATCCCTTGAAACTGGGAGGTGGAGGTTGCAGTGAGCCGTGATCATGTTGCAAAACTCCGTCTCAAAAAAAAAAAAAAATAGCCTCAGCCTCCCAAGTAGGGGGGACTACAGGCATGCACCACCACGCCTGGCTAATTTTTGTATTTTTAGTAGAGACAGGGTTTCACCATGTTGGCCAGGATGGTCTCGATCTCTTGACCTCATGATCCACCCACTTTGGCCTCCCAGAGTGCTGGGATTACAGGTGTGAGCCATCGCACCAGCTGGAAATGGTTTCTTAAATAAGACCCAAAACGGACAAATGTTTAAAAACGTAAATTGAATTACATGAAAGTTAAAAACTTCAACACAATAACAGACATCTTAGAAAAAATGTAAAAAGTCAAAAGCCTAAAAGAAAGTGTTTGCAACACGAAAAACAAAGCATTAATATACAAAACATGCTAAAATTATTTTAAATAAACTTTAAAGAAAATACAATAGAAAAAAATGAGTAAATGATACATGCAGTAATTCACAGAAGAAACTGCTATAGTCAAAAAATACAGGCTGGGCTCTATGGCTCCCAGCACTTTGGGAGGCCAAGGCAAATGGATCACTTGAGGCCAGGAGTTGGAGACCAGCCTGGCCAACATGGTGAAACCCCATCTCTACTAAAAGTACAATAAATGAGCCAGGCATGGTGGTGCACACCTGTAATCCCAACTACTAGGGAGGCTGAGGCACAAGAATCATTTGAACCTGGGAGGCAGAGGTTGCAGTGAGCCAAGATTATACACCATTGCACCTCAGCGTGGGTGACCAAGTGAGACTCTGTCTCAGAAAAGTAGTAATAAGTAAAAATAAAACAAATGCAGGAAAAGTTGTACAACTTTACCACAAACATGTAAATGCAAATAAATCCACATTTCACTCCCACAAATCATTTCACTTTCCCATATGATTAGAAAAACTTTAAAATTTTGACAAAACCAAGTGTTAGAGAGGATCGTGGGAAACCAAAGATTCTCATGCACTATTAGTGGGAATGCAAATTTATTCAATCACTTTGGAGAAAAAGTTGGCATTATCCAGCAAAGTGAAAAATGAGTACAACCTCTGACCCAATTCTGCTTCTGAAGAAACACTTGTACATGTGTGCAAAGAGACAAATAAAGATGTTTACTGCAGTGTTGCTCTATAGTAGAGATTAGTTGGAACTAGCTCAAACGTCTGTGTGTAGAAGAATGGATAAATAAACTACAATGGAACAATATGTGCAGTATAAACAAAGGAACCAGATTTATACGTAGCGACATCAAGGAATTATTAAAAACAATGTGGCCGGGCGCAGCGGCTCACGCCTGTAATCCCAGCACTTTGGGAGGCCGAGGCAGGCAGATCACCTGAGGTTGGGAGTTCAAGCCCAGCCTGACCAACATGGAGAAACCCCATCTCTACTAAAAACACAAAATTAGCCGGGCGTGGTGGCACATGCCTGTAATCCCAGCTACTTGGGAGGCTGAGGCTGGAGAATCGCTTCAACCTGGGAGGCGGAGGTTGCAGTGAGCCAAGATCACGCCATTGCACTCCAGCCTGGGCAACAAGAGCAAAACTCTGTCTCAAACATAAATAAATAAATAATTAAATAATAAAAATAAAATAAAATAAAATAAAATAAAATAAAAACAATGTTGAGGCCAGGCACAGTGGCTCACTCCTGTAATCCTAGCACTTTGGGAGGCTGAGGTGGGTGAATGACCTGAGGTCAGGAGTTCAAGACCAGCCTGGCTAACATGGCAAAACCCTGTTTCTACTAAAAATGCAAAAAATTAGCTGGGCATGGTGGCAGGCACCTGTAATCCCAGCTACTCAGGAGGCTGAGGCAGAAGAATCACTTGAATCTGGGAGGCAGAGGTTGCAGTGAGCCGAGATCTCGCCATTTGCACTCCAGCCTGGGTGACAAGAGTAAAACTCTGACTCAAAAAAAAAAAAAAAAGTTGAGTAAAAAAAAAATGCCACGGATAGTTTTATACAGTATAATACCACTTATTTAAATATTCTTAAATACCAAAGCAACATTAAATATTTACAGATGTATTTCTACCTAGTAAAAGCATAAAAAGGTGATTGAGGCCGGGCGTGGTGGCTCACACCTGTAATCCCAGAACTTTGGGAGGTGAGGCAGGCAGATCACCTGAGGTCAGGAGTTCGAGAACAGCCTGATCAACGTGGAGAAACCCCGTCTCTACTAAAAAATACAAAATTAGCTGGGCATGGTGGCGCATGCCTGTATTCCCAGCTACTCGGGAGGCTGAGACAGGAGAATCGCTAGAACCCAGGAGGCAGAGGTTGTGGTGAGCCAAGATCATGCCATTGCACTCCAGCCTGGGCAACAAGAGTGAAACTCTGTCTCAAAACAAAAAGAAAAAAAAAAGTAATTGATACACACTAAATTTCTGATGGAAAGGAAATGGGGAAGGAAAGAGGAGAAGTGTTATTGTACTTTCCTATACTTTAAAAAAATTTTCCCAAAAAAAGCAGTACATGTGAAATTACGAAGGAGAGTGTCTGACTTTTATTAGATACTTGCTAAATTATAGCTATCCTTGAAGTTATCTATCAAGAACAGGTGCTAAAATGTACTTGCTTCCTGTTTCCCAACTACACCAACTGGTGGCTTCTCCTCATCCCACGTGTGCTAACAGCAGGCTCTGTGTATCACAGAACAACACAGTGTGAGCCTTGAGCCTCATGTCAAGCCGGTGCTTCTCAACCTGGGGACAATTTTCACTGCCAGGGGACACTTGGCAATGTCTGGAGGCATTTTAGTCGTCACAGCTGGGGCAGAGGGCGTTGCTACTAGAATGGAGAGTGTCGAGGCCAGGGAACTGCTGAACATCCTGAGATTCTCAGGACAGCCCCCACCACAAAGAACCATCTGGTCCAAATGTCAATAGTGCCGAGGTTGAGAAACCCAATGTAAGCTCATAGAAATTAACATAAATAACCGTTGCATTGAATCTAATATACTAAATTTGACTACTTTTCTGATGAGTCCTTTTTATAAATTATCAGACAAGTGAAGCCACATCTTCTTTCTAATCTTTCTTTCTAATACTGGACACTGACTAGACCGGAGAGTGTGGGTGATAGAGCTGCTTCTGCCAAAACCATGGCCTCTAGTTTCTCTTCTCTGTATCCACAGCAGGCAGAATGGCATCTGTTGGAAAGGGCATATACTCTAAAATCTTTTTTTTTTTTTTTGAGATGGAGTCTTGCTCTGTCACCTAGGCTGGAGTGCAGTGGTGTGATCTCTGCTCACTGCAACCTCCGCCTCCTGGGTTTAAACGATTCTCCTGCCTCAGCCTCTGGAGTAGCTGGGATTACAGGCATGTGCCACCGTGCCTGGCTAATTTTTGTATTTTTAGTAGAGATGGGGTTTCACCATGTTGGCCAGGCTGGTCTCGAACTCCTGACTTCAAGTGGGCCACCTGCCTCAGCCTCCCAAAGTGCTGGGATTACAGGTGTGAGCCAACACACCTAGCCTCTATAATCATTTTAATTGGGCAAAATATTATGGAATTTTTTTCAGTCATGAAAATTAATCAGGCTTGCATTCTAATTCAGTCTAACCCTGGCTATTTCCAAAGCCAAAGGAAGCACAACACAGGTATTTCTTTTCAACCTCCCAGGAAATAGTTCAACTGATCCATGGACCAGATGTCAAATCTACACCATTAAATCACCTTCTCCATAGTCTTAAAGTTCAATTGGCCAAATCATGCATGAAGAGGCTACCAGTCATGGTTACATTCAGCTTCATAGCATAAAACTGCAAAAGACAAAGGCATATATAAGATTAAATTTCATTTTTCTCTCAGTTAAAAGAAACCTAGAGATAAGCAGTCCAGAGCTGCTTTGGTAGCTCCATGACATCATCATGCTCCATTGCATTCTCTGTGCCCCTCATCCTCATAGTTCCAGATGCTTGCTGAAGCTCCCCCAGAACATCCCTGTTTCTAAGTTCAAATCAGCAGGAAGGAGAAGGGAAGGGCATGGTTCTACTCTTTTAAGAACACTTCCAGGCAGCTCCTTGCAACCCAACTACTTTTATCTCACTGGCCAGAATTTAATTACCTGACCATACTTAATGGTCAAGGAAGCAGGGAAATACAGATTTCTAGCTGGGCAGCAATGTGCCTGGGTGAAAATCAGGATTTCTTTGCTAAAGGAGAAGCAAAGAGTGGGTTTTGGAAGGCAGCTAGTAGTTGATGCTGTAGACTGGTCCTCTGGCAGATATACTCATGAATACTCTTCTGCCCCTGTGTAGACCTAGGCATTTCCCATCCAGTTAGTGCATCTCACTCAAAGTCCAGAATCTCTAGGTGATGTGCTCGATCATGTCTGCATGTGCCTCCTCATGGTCTGGTAATTTGCAAACCAAAAAATGTTATCTACATTTACATGCAATATAATTGCTGGCATAGGAGCAAAATAAGCAGACACACAGAAAAACTCACATTAGAAAAGCAGGGAAAGGCTGGGTGTGGTGGCTCATGCCTCTAACCCCAACATTTTGGGATTACTCAGATCACTGGAGCCCAGGAATTCAAGACCAGCTTGGGCAACATAGTGAAGCCTCATCTCTACAAAAAATAAAAAATAAAATTTTTTTTAATTAGCCAGGTGTGGTGGTGTGTGCCTGTAGTCCCAGCTACTTGGGAAACTGATGGTGGGAGGGTCATTTAAGCCCAGGAGGCAGAGGTTGCAGTGAGCCAAGATTGCACCACTGCACTCCAGCCTGGGTGACAAAGATCCTGTCTCAAAAAAAAAAAAAAAAAGAAAAGAAAAAGGAAGAGAGAAATATTGCAGGTATTGGTCCATAGCAATGATCAAATCCTGCTGGAAAAGAAAAGAAAAAGGAAGAGAGAAATATTGCAGGTATTGGTCCACAGCCATGATCAAATCCTGCTGGAAAAGAAAAGAAAAAGGAAGAGAGAAATATTGCAGGTATTGGCCCGTAGCAATGATCAAATCCTGCTGGAAAAGAAAAGAAAAAGGAAGAGAGAAATATTGCAGGTATTGGTCCATAGCAATGATCAAATCCTGCTGGATAGGAATGGCAAAGACTCCCTTTGGGGGCAGAGAAGGTCATTCCTTGATTGAGCTGCTGCCTTGAAGGATCTCTCTTGTCCATTGCCCCCATGGCCTCTGGCTTTGCCCTCTCAGGGGTTTTTCCTTGTCAGTTTTCCTCTATGGCTATATCTGAGCCCTGGGCATTGGAGATAGGATCATCTTGAAGCTGCATGGTTTCCACCGCCAACTTCTTGCTTGTGCAGGTGCAGGTTCCCAGGAATTCTTTTCAGAGTTGTCTAATCACAGTTTTTGCAGGCCAAGCTTGAGGTTTCTGTCCAAACATAGGAAGCTTCCATCCAATCTCTTTGCTTCCAGTCAATTCCAAGTGTGGGTTACTACAGCCTAACACTGCGTCCAGAAACACTTCTCACGCCCCAAGGCTCTGATCTTTTATTTAGAGCTCTTTATGCTCTGGCCATCCTTTCCCTCTCCAATTGGCCTGGCTGCCTTGAGACCATTTGAAAGAAGAAAGAAGTTGGGTGAGATGGGAACACGCTTAATCTAATCTTTGTGTCTGGGCTTGTTTCCATTGTCTGGCAAGGAACCTAGGAAGATGCTCGGAAAGTGCCTGGGGCCACAGCCTTATCTCCTGCCAAGGCTGGATGGGCTTGCACTCACTGGAAGCTGTATTTTTCATCCTACAAGACTCCCAGTTACAGGACTCATAGCTGAGTTTAGATTACAGGCAGAGTCTAATCTTTACAAAGCTATGTTTCCTTCCATCTCTGTTGGCAGGCAGGATAGCTCCAGATGAGTTTATATCTTTATCACAGCTCTTAGCTAAAAGCTGCAAGATGCAATCAATACAAACCAAAATTTTACACTTCTTACCCCTTCCCCCAGCCACATCTTCAGTTTGCATGTTGCTTGCTTTATATTATTCAGGAAATGGCAATTTTGAGCAAATGTTTTGCTACAGCATAACAAGGGTCACTAATTTTCCAACTGATGATATCTGCTCACCACTGCTCCATGTCTGATCTTCTCCACTAAGCCAATGACACAATTGGATTTTATTATATATATCATCCAACTCATGGGTGTTGAATTTTATATTGATTAGGATAAGGTTTAGTTGCATAAAACAGGAAAATGCAAAATAATATGTTTAAACATAATACAAGGTGGTAACCCCACAGATGTGGCTTGTCAGATGTGTAGTATGATAAGAAACACAATTTGCTTATTAATTATAACAGTTCCTAGTAATAACTTGTACCTGAGAGTATATGACTTAGATAAAATACCTACAGGTGAGTGTGATAACAGCTCCTTTTCCTATGTAGCTTGTGAGACTTTTCTCAAGTTGGAACAGGATTTAAGATGTAGTTTCTCATAAGGAGGGATCCAAAGATTTTATGATAATGTCGACTAATTCCTGACCCAGAAGTCTGCAGAGGCTGGTGAAGGAGGGGTGGGGAGCTGAATCACTACTGAGCAGGACGAAGGTCAGATGGGAGTTGGGAAGGAGAGTGTCGAGGGAAGCCATCAGTGGGGCCCACCAGTCCAGAATCTGACTATAAAATTGCTAAATAGCTCAGGCGCGAAGTCTCACACTGCAATCCCAGCACTCTGGGAGGCTGAGGTGGGAGGACTGCTTGAGGCCAGGAATTTAAGGCCAGCCTAGTCAGCTTAGTAAAACCCTGTCCCTACAAAAAATTTTAAAAATAGCCAGACGTGTGGTGCTGCATGCCTGTAGTCCCAGCTACTCAGGAGGCTGAGGCAGGAGGATTGCTTGAGCCCAGGAGTTCAAGGCTGCAGTGAGCTATGATTGAACCCACTGCACTTCAGCCTGGACAACAGAGCAAGACCCTGTCTCAAAAAAAAAAATTGCCAAATTATGAGACAAAGAGAAAGAGAGTGCATGTTGAAATCAAGGAAAAGTCCAGAGTCCTACTACCACTGATTACTTTAAGAACCAACATTTCTTGTCACTGTGTGCCAGGCAGTGTACTAAATTCTTTACATACCTTTACTAATCTCTAAAAACCTTATGAGGTAGATACTACTATGATCTTCATTTTACAGATAAGGAAACTACGGCTTAAAGAGGTTAATTTTTCCAAAGTCATAGCAAATAGCAGAGCCAAGACTTGAACTCAGGTCTCTCAGAGAGCAACGCTAATCTCTTAACCTCTATGGTAAATTGTTTGTAAAGTAGATTTGAGCTTTTTTTTTTCTTCAAAGAAATGACTCTCAACTGTGTCAACTATTCAGCACTAGCCAATCATTCATCACCTATGTAATCAGTCTGGTTTATGAGGAAAGATATCTCAGACATACATTTCTTTTCTTTTTAGAGACAGGCCCCTGGCTCTGTTGCCCAGGTTGGAGTGCAGTGGCATGATTATAGCTCACTGCAGCCTCAGTCTCAAACTCCTAGGCTCAAGCAATCCTCCTGCCTCAGCCTCCCGAGTAGCTAGTACTACAGGCAGGTGCCACTATACCCGACTAATTTTATTTATTGTAGACGAGGTCTCACTATGTGGCTCAGGCTGGTCTTGAATTACTGGCTTCAAGTGATCCTCCAGGCTCAGCCTCCCAAAGTGCTGGCATGACAGGCCTGAGCCACCTCGCCTGGCCTACCCCAGCCATACTTTACTAATTTGTATTATTAAGCCACATGTCATGGACTCTATGAACAAAAAGGGGGAAAGAAAGAGGTTGGCATTTAGGAAAATGAGAAAATAGACCAAGTATGATTTGAAGACCTTTTATTCCTCTCTCAGAAAACCCCCTCTTTCCCTCCCTCCTTTCTTTCATCAAACACTTAGTGTTGGCCGGGCTCGGTAGCTCACGCCTGTAATCTCAGCACTTTGGGAGGCTGAGGTGGGCAGAAAAGATCACTTGAGGTCAGGAATTCGAGACCAGCCTGGCCAACATAGTGAAACCCCATCTCTATTAAAAATAAAAATTAAAAAAAAAAAGTTAAATAACACTGAGTGTCCACTCTGGTCAGGTAAAACACTGAGGAGTAGAAGTGTCACCAGGGTCAAAGCCCAGCTCTGCACTTGCAGAACAGGGCGTCCAGTGCTGTCAGTTAAGCTCAGGTGTTGTGTCTGCAACGAGAGGCAGCTGGTCTCATGGGGAAGTGAGGGTAGAAATCCTTTTGATGAGGCCCAAGCTGAGGCCTGGGAGGATAAATAGAAGCTTGCCAAGTGTGGGCAGACTGGAAGGCAATCCCAGTAGTGGAGGCAACAGTGCACAAGCCCAGAGCAGGAGAAAGCATGTGTTCAGGGAAGTGTTGATGATAACCAGAATGTGGGAGCCATGGGTAGGGGTGTGACAGGAATCAGCCTGAAGATGCCTGGCATGCTACACTCACCAGCATGGACTTCATCCTAGCGAGATAAATGTTAGATACAAACGGGACATCCAATGCATGCTTTAGAAGGTTCATTCTAGCTGGCTGGGCGCGGTGGCTCACCCCTGTAATCCCAGCACTTTGGGAGGCTGAGGCAGGTGGATCGCGAGGTCAGGAGTTCTAGACCGGCCTGACCAACATGGTGAAACCCCATCTCTACTGAAAGTACAAAAACGAGCCAGGCGTGGTGGCACACACCTGTAATCCCAGCTACTCAGGTGGCTGAGACAGGAGAATCACTTGAACCCGGGAGGCGGAGGTTGCAATGAACCAAGATTGCCCCATTGCACTTCAGCCTGGGTGACAGAGCAGACTCTCTCAAAAAAAAAAAAAAAAAAAGTTTAGTCTAGCTGCAGGGTAGAGAATGGTTTGAAAGATGACTTCAATGAAGGAAATCAATGAGTCTATCAAGGTAATGCAGTGATGAAATGGTGAGACCCAGACCTAGGGCACAACAACAGGAATGGATAGTAATGAAGAGACCGGAATGCTGCTGAGGAGGTGGAGAGACCAGAGCTTGATGCGTGCTTAAGCCTGGTGGCTGAGAGAGGAGGCGGGGTCAGGCCCAATGTCCAGGTACCCAGCTCGGACAATTAGGCTGATGAGTGGGTCCAAAAACACAGGGAAGAGAGAAGCAGGTTTGGAAACAGGTTCAAATCAAATAGAGCTCACAGGAGTCCAGAGTTCACAGGACAGATCTGGCCTGGAGAAGAAGCTGTGGGGTCGCTGGCATAGACTAATGGGAGCCAGGGGAAGGATGAGATTTTCCCAGAAGAGGACTGTTGGCCTCCTGCCCTGCACCCCACATAGCACACACTGGCCAGGTCTTCTCGCTGTGCCGGCCCCTCACCCCATCTACTCTTGGGGGTCCTGCTCCATGCTGCGTTACCCCAATCCCCATCCTAAATTAGTTCTGTGTCCCTTTCTCTCAGGGTCTTTCCTAGCTACTCTGGTGAATGATTTAATGTTAAAAATTCATAGGCATTGGTCAGGCACAGTGGCTCACGCCTGTAATCCCAGCACTTTGGGAGGTCGAGGCGGGCCGATCATGAGGTCAAGAGTTCAAGACCAGCCTGGCCAACATGGTGAAACCCTGTCTCTATTGAAAATCCAAAAATTAGCCAAGAGTGGTGGCGGGCACCTGTAATCCCAGCTACTCATGAGATTGAGGCAGGAGAATTGCTTGCACCTGGGAGGCAGAGGTTGCAGTGAGCAGAGATTGTGCCACTGCACTCCAGCCTGGGCGACACAGCATGACTTCATCTCAAAAAAAAAAAAAAAAATCATGGGCATTAATGCATTATTACCCAAAACATTTCTGAATTTTAATCAAAGAGAATCAATAGGATTTGAATCCATAGAAGAGCTCAGAGCATTTCCTTTCTTTTATTTATTTATGTATTTGTGATAGGTGGTTATTACTGAGGTGACCTGGCCCTCATGTCCCACTCCTGCCACTAGAAATCTCATTTCCCCAACTGTGCGTTTTCCAAAAGTTGAATATTTCCTTTGCTTTTCGTGCACAGATATAAATTGCTTCCCAGGTCCTGATCCTTTTTACCTTAGAGAGCCTGTACCAGCACTTAGTGCATTTATTCATCTTTGTAATGGACAACTGCGATTGTGGCTGTTTTAGCACAGGACACAGACAAAAGGGAACTAGAACTGTTTCTCACCAGTGCAAGGCCCTTGAGTCAGAAACACCTGGCAGTGAGTGGCAAAGAAGAAACAACTGTGAAGTTAAATGCCAATACCCCAGGGAAGCTTTCCCACAGGAATCATTAGGGACTTCTTCACCATGTTCCCATGGCAGTATGTCATTTATCATACTGCACTGCAATTCTTTTGTTTTCAAGTCAGTCTTTCCTTCTACATTGTAAGTTCCAAGGAGAGAAATGTCGTACCTTCTCCATCTTTGTACTGCCTGTCCCTGTGCCTTAACACAATGCTGCTGTAGATAGCAGGTGTTTAATAAATATCTATTGGGTGAATGAGTCTGCAGAGATATATGTCATTCACAGAGCATGTCAGGGAGCTTCTCGACACACCAAGTCACACTGGGAGGTTTTCCAGGGAATATAAGATTCCTTTTGCTATGTTGACCTCTTGCTTCTTGACCTTTGCATGTGCTGTGCCCGTGATTTCAAGTACATCTCTCTTCATCCCTAATTAGGTAACAGCTACTTAGTCTTCTTAAAATTAATAAATATCAAGGCTGAGCACAGTGGCTCATGCAGTTGGGGAGGCCAAAGCTGGAAGACTGCTTGAGGCCAGGAGTTTAACACCAGCCTGGGAAACACAGCATTTTTTTCCAGGTGAAAAACATCATTTTTCACCTGGAAAAAAACATAAAGGATACATACTAATAACACAGGCTATATGGCAAATGTCTAACTGGTGGAGCTTGAGAAAGAGAATTCTGAGGGAAGAAAAACAGAAACTGATAGCAAGACTTGGAATAGGAGCAAAACAGGAGTATGATGGCATTGGGAGATTCCAGGGAAGTTCGGGAAGCCAAGAGGATGAATGGACACGGGGGTAGGGGTAGGAGCGTGGGAGGTATGGGGACCAGGATAGGAAGACATACATGGTTGGATGGAGAGACTGATGGCAAAGACACACACACACACACACACACACAAACAAATTTTAGTAAAAAAAAATATAAAGAAAAGAAATCTTGGCAAACTGTAAAACTAAAGATGGAAGAAGGAGAGGTAAAAAGGGAAAATGTGCAAAAAGCCAAGAAGTATCTTAGCTTATAATTATTCATCTCTAAAGGCTTCTATGAAATTATTCCTTCTGCTATTCAAAGCTTTCCTAAAATTCTGCTCTTCCTAGAAGTCTTTAACAGCAGAGAAGTAAACATCTTACCTCCTATAATAGAACAGTGAGACTGGAAGGGATCTTAGCAATCACCAAGCTCCTTCGTTTCACACAGAGGATGGAAGTGACTCCCCTGTAGACACACTGTTAGATCGCCTTGGAGCCTGAGCCAAAGTCACAGTCTGTGTATTTCTAGAATAGTGTTTATTCCAACAGGTAATTTTTTTCTACTCCATTTTCCCAAACAAATGACCTTCTCAAAAACTGGGGGGAAAAAGTCTGTTTTTTAAAGTAAGTCAATAAACATTTCATTGTGAAGGACTAAGCAATAGGCCTGGGAGGCAAGAGCTGGTTTTTGTACTCACAGCACCTAGCCCAGAGCCTGGCACAAAAGTAGTTTTCGATAGGGTTTTGTTGGATGGATGGATGGATGGATGGATAGATGGATGGATGGATGGATGGATGGATGGATGGCTGGATATGAGATAGATGGATGGATGGATGAATGGATATGTGATGGATAGATGGATGGATGAATGAATGTATGATGGATGGATGGATGAATGGATATGAGATGGATGGATGGATGGATATGTGATGGATGGATGGATGAATGGATGGATGAATGAATGGAAGGATAGATGGATAAATGTGTTCTATTTAGGGCTGCCACCACTATTCAGATAGTTATTGAATAGACTGTTTCAATGTTTTCTGACTTTAAGAGGTATTTGATCTAACTTGCTTCTGCATATGGGCCAATGATCCCAGGTTGTTTTAAAGAATTCTTGGTAAATGATCTAATTAATAAATGAGATGTTTTCAAATAAGTTATAATCTCATCGGAAACCTAAGACATGGATGTAAGCAGAAATGATTAGCAATACAGGAAAACAATGTGTTAAACGCCAGGTGACTATTCTTGCAGATAAGCTGTAAGTAGAGTGATATAACTTATTTTCTAAAGTGGGTCCCCTTCGAGAGTGAAAGAGGGCCTTATTAATACACCAACACAATAGGAAAAAACAGGGCTATATGGTCCAAGTAGGGGGTTCAGATGAGAGGGCAGATTTCCCATGTACTGAGGAGGCTTCTTGAACTTTGCTTGTGCTGTGCCATAATTTGGAGCACGTCTCTCTTCATTCCTAATTAGGTAACAGCTACTTAGTCTTAAAATTAATAACTGTAAAGGCCAGGCATGGTGGCTCACCCCTGTAATCTCAGCACTTTGGGAGGCTGAGGCTGGAAGACTGCTTGAGGCCAGGAGTTTAAGACAAGTCTGGGCAACAGAGCAAGACTCTGTCCTTGCAAAAAAAAGTTTTTATTTAATTTAATTTATTATTATTATTATTTTGAGACGGAGTCTTGCTCTGTTGCCCAGGCTGGAGAGCAATGGCACGATCTTGGCTCACTGCAACCTCCACCTCCCGGGTTCAAGAGATTCTCCTGCCTCAGCCTCCCATGTAGCTGGGACTACAGGTGTGCACCACCATGCCCGGCTAATTTTTGTATTTTTAAAAGAGACGGGGTTTCACCATGTTGGCCAGCTGGTCTCAAACTCCTGACCTCAACTGACCCACCTGCCTCAGCCTCCCAAAGTGCTGGGATTATAGGCGTGAGCCACCATGCCCGGCCAAAAAAATTTTTTTAATTAGCTGGGAATGGTGGCACATGTAGGTAGTCTCAGCTACTCAGGAGGCTGGGGCCAGAGGACTGCTGGAGCCTAGGAGTTCAAGTCTGCAGTAAGCTGTGATCGTGCCACTGCACAACGACAACAATCAAATTAATATATGTGATGTATTAAAAATAAGTTTGAAAAGTGTGTATGAATGACAAAAGCTAGAAAAAAAATTAAAGATTCTGTACATACTGTAAGTATATAGACAGGAGTTTGTTATCTCATTTAAAAAAAAATCACGCGTGTCTTTCTAGAGTTTTAAATTTCAGATATTTGGCTTTGAGCAAAATACTCTTTTCTTTTTTCTTTTCTTTTTTTTTTTTTTTAAGATGGAGTCTTGCTCTGTCACCTAGGCTGGAGTGCAGTGGCACGATCTCGGCTCACTGCAAGCTCTGCCTCCTGGGTTCACGCCATTCTCCTGCCTCAGCCTCCCGAGTAGCTGGGACTACAGGCACCCGCCACCACGCCCGGCTAATTTTTTGTATATTTTTTAGTAGAGACAGGGTTTCACCATGTTAGCCAGGATGGTCTCGATCTCCTGACCTCGTGATCCGCCCGCCTCGGCCTCCCAAAGTGCTGGGATTACAGGCGTGAGCCACTGCGCCTGGCCAAAATACTCTTTTTAATGGTTTAATGAGAGTAGCCTAGAGTTTATTTTTAAATGGTAGAAATGTTGCTAAGAATAGGGTAGGTTTATATACTTGCTATACAAACTGTGGTCCCTGGAGTCGCAGCATCAGCAACACTTGGGAATCCGTTAGAAATGCAGATTTTCAGGCCTCACCCAGACCTATGGAGTCAAAATCTGCCTTTTATTGAGGTGCCCAAGTGATTTGCAAGCACATTAAAGTTCAAGAAGCATTGGTCTATACAACCTTCAGTCTTTCAAAAGTGTGAAATTTATTTAAGCATTTAAGTATACCTTTCCTACTTTGCTCTTCTTCTCCTTTGTAAAATGTATTGACAGTATGCTTCCTTTTGCTTTTAAGCCATTTAAGTGTCTAGAACTTTAATGATAATAATGAAGAGGGCTGTTGTTTACAAAGAAAACAGTAAGAATAGGATGAACACCCTAGATTCCCATAATACATCCCCCATTCAGGGGTAGCGATGGACGAAGACTCAAATTCACATGATAAGCTGCTCCATTTTGGCATGAACCAGTTTTTAACTCTAGCCAGTCAATTTCGTTTTTAAAACTTCTCCCAGGAGAAGAAAAAAAGTGATAGAAGAAGAAACCATACTTAGAAATGCAAACTATTCAAGGAAATCTTGACTTTCAGTCCTTGTAAATACTGAACAAAAGGCTTTATCTTTCACAAGTTGAAGAAATATTAACATGCTATGGGGGTGTCTTTCCTGCGACTGTTTTGCTGGCTCTGGGCCCGGCATGAATTTGGTAGTACTGGGCAAGGCCACAGCTGCATGCCGGCCTGCATTGCATCTCTATTTTTGCAGGCATTAAATAGCTTCTCCCATCTCCAACATGTGTTGCTGCACATGTGACCCAATGAATCAATCCCCTGTACAATGAAGCAACAATAATGGGTCTGGGGCAATTAGCACAGGGACAGCAGGTCTTCCTAGCAGACTCTTGCCCACGTTAATATTCGCAGCATATCCTGGGTGGGTGCTCCTGAGAATTCTGCTAATGCCCCATTACCATCCTCAGGGCTGGTAATTGCAAGGGTAGAGATCTGTTGCAGCTTCTGGGCAGCCGTTCCCTTCCTTCCCAAGATGAATGTTGTGAAGGGCAATGAGGGGGTTGTGAGTGCCTCCAAATAAAGGTCTTTTATAGCTCTTTAAAGCTGTAAGTCATTCAGTCATAGTTTCTTTCACCTGCTGGCTTGACAACTTTAAAAATTTACATTTCTGAACTTGTACTTTAACAGGCTTTCATCATAACTTCGGGAAAGAAGAATTAGAATGGGGAAGATTTAGGTGCACAGATGGGGTCGAAATCAGGATAATATTGACTAAGCACCCTCCTGGGGCTCTCCTAACACAAACGATTACCCTGCCTCCTAGGATTTTATAGTTCAAATAGAATAGGTGAGCACTAAAACAATCAAATCTGTTATCCTGAAAGGCCAAATTGGCAAAGTGGTTCCTAGTGAAAATCATGGAATATTAGCCCTCAAAGATATTTTAAAGCCCACCCCTCCTTTTTTGGTAATTGTCTGTGAAATGAGGATCTTACAGACCCTGCCTCATCACATGGCGGCGAGGACCAAATTAGACACCCTGGGAGCTTGCAATGGAAAAGTCTTTCATGTCTGCAAAGGAAAATAATGTGTGTGTGTGTGTGTGTGTTTGTAGATAGGTAGGTAGGTAGGTATGTAGGTAGGTAGGTATGTAGGTAGGTAGATAGATAGATAGATTTTTTTTTTTAAGACAGCATCTCACTCTGTCACCCAGGCTGCAGTGCAGCAGTGTGATCTTGGCTCACCGCAGCCTCAACCTCCTGGGCTCAAGCAATCCTCCCACCTTAGCCTCCTGAGTAGCTGGGACCACAGGTGTGCACCACCATGCCCGGCTAATCCTTCTGGTAGAGACGGGGTTTTGCCATGTAGCTCGGGCTGGACTCGAACTCCTGAGCTCAAGCAATCTGCCCGCCTCTGCCTCCAAAAGTGGGGGATGGAAAGCATGAGCCACGGTGCCTGGCCTAATATGTGTATTTTTAATGATCTTTATTGTTTTAAGCTGAAAAAATAGACTCAAAGGAGTCAAGTGGTAACAAGACAAGAGCTCCCTTAGAGGTGCTCACCCACCTGCATGCTAAACTGTATGAGGTAGCTTTCCTCTTGGGCTGTCAGTGCTAAAGATGTGTAATAATGCAGAATACCTGTACTCTGGACTCTCACTAGAGAATACAGCTTTGAACTCCCTGCTGTTCAATCCCTTAGCAAAATACTGATTTTTGAGAAATAATGTTTGTGAAGAATCGCCTGAAGGTTATGCAAATTCTCCACTCTGCTGGATATCCTAAAATTTACCTATGGATCAAACCTGATTGTCAGGGCACTGTGTATTTGGATCCCAGGTATTTGCCTCCTGGTAGTAGTAACTTGACTGAACTGTGCTTACATGAAGGGGTGTGCTATCAGACCCAACTGTAAGAAATGCATTATTATATTCAACACAAGGATTTTATGGAGAACCTGATCTGATGGATTGCTAGATTCCTCTTTATGAGGACTCACAGTGATAAATTTCCTTGGGGCTGCAGCTTCAGGAGAAACCTGGCTTCTACTAAACAACTTTTTAATCTTATGATTAAAGTATCAGCCTCTTCCCTCTTTGCTCTGGCCACTAGGAAACTTGGGGCCAAATTTGTTTATCAAATGGATTCCATTGCTCTGTAACAATCTTGGTTTTAATGTTCTTACCCCCTTTTTCCCTTTGGCAATTTGTTTTATCTATGTAGTTGCCTACCTTTTGTAAATCGACTTGTTTTTAAAAATTAATTATCCCTAGCTACTTGGGAGGCTGAGGTGGGAGGATCATTTGAGCCCAGGAGTTTGAAGCTGCAGTGAGCTATGACTGCACCACTGCACACTACAGTCTGGGCAATAGAGCGAGACCCTGTCTCTTAAGAAAAAAAAATCAATTTTGATTACTTCATAAATTTCAGTTGAATTGAGTCTCTGACATCATTTTCCAGTGAAGCCTTGAATCAGTCTTTAAGCAAACTATTTTCATCAGCTGGACCTTGGAGATGACACTCAACTATGATTTTTCAGAGGCATGTGTTAAGTCATGAATGCAAACCAATCACATTTTCAAGTCTCTGAAGTTGGCCGATTTTCATTTCAGAAGACATATTTAGCTTTGTAAGATCTCTTAAATTTATAAACAGACATTGAAGGGTAAATAGGCACTTGATCTTTGATACATAGTTCTTGGACTCACCAACAAGCAAAACAATAATATCTCAGTCCGTTGAGCTGTATCATTTGGGTTTTGTGACAATTTGGACAAAGAGTGGTTGAAGTTTACTCTTTGCTCTCTGAGTATATTAAACAAAAGAGTTTAAATTGTAAGAAGGAATATCTGAATATTAAAGAGCTATTTCCCAACAGCTTTTATTCCTATTTGCATATTAAAATGCCATTAGATTATCTTTATAATCTAGCACTGCTCTGATTGGTACTTTAATATGCCTATTACAGACCCTTCCTATTTGTTAAATTAATATTTGATTACTATAATTTCGAAGGAAATCCATTCTTGAATGTCATAAATATGTACTCTTGAATCATATCCTATAAATTAAAATATTTACTAATATGTGTGGTCTTGAAAATCATTCCAAATTCCTGAAATCACTCTGAAATGTAAGTAATACATGGTATGTGCCTTTTTGAAATATTTGGAAATGTGTCTGCTTACTTCTTTTTTGAAATGACCCCTTTCTTGAATTCTGGAATATTGCATCCTCTTTCTTTTAGTTCTCTCTCTGATTAAGCCTTTGTCCTGTTTGTTGTTGTTGTTGTTGTTTTTTGTTTTTTGTTTTGTTTTGTTTTGTTTTTGAGACAGAATTTCCCTCTTGTCACCTAGGCTGGAGTGCAATGGCACAATCTTGGCTCACTGCAACCTCTGTCTCCCAGGTTCAAGCTATTCTTCTGCCTCAGCCTCCCAAAGTAGCTGGGATTACAGGTGCCCGCCACCATGCCCACCTAATTTTTTTTTTTTTTTGTATTTTTAGTTGAGACGGGGTTTCCCCCTGTTGGCCAGGCTGGTCTTGAACTCCTGACCTCAGGTGATCCACCTGCCTCGGCCTCCCAAAGTGCTGGGATTACAGGCGTGAGCCACCACGCCCGACCACCTTTGCCTTGTTAAACATTTCTTCCTCTTCACACCCCTAATTGTGTGATTCCCCAAATTCAGCATTTCTTCCTTCATGCTGACCTAGGATAACTAAACCTTCTTAAAGTATCAACTATCATTCTTAACAGATGACTCTGGGACCTGAATATCACTTGAGTTCCAACTTCTTAGATTACCCACTGGATACTTCTACTGTCACCTCAAATTCATTGTGTCAACTATTAATCATTACTGTTCATTTCATGTTAGTGGCATCAAAAGACTTAGCAATAACAAGAAAACTTTTATCAATTATATACTACATACTACAACGGCTGCTTTAAAAACAAATCTCACTTAATCCTCTGAACCATCTTATAGGTGAGTTTTACCACCTTCACTTTACCTATTAGGAAATTGGAAATAAGAGAGGTAAAGAAAGTATACTTGTCTCACAGCAAGTATACTGCAAAACTTGAACTCAAGTGTCATGTTAAGTGGTCTCCCAAAAATTATATCTAAAATTAAATTATTTTTATTTTCTCTGTAACAAACTTTCTTCTTGTATGCCTATTTTTGCCTATGGTACCGTAATTCTCCTTCATATGGAAACTTGAAATTGTGAAGGTTTTTCCCTCCTCCTTATTATTTCTCCTGTCAAATCCATCTGTAAGTCCTGTAATATTGCCTCGTCCTGATTTTCCTTTCTTCCTTCCTCTAGTTCACACACTTACCCATTAAGGTCTCCAATAAATCTCTGCCCTCTCTTTCTGCTTTTAGCTCCTTGCACATTCTCCTCCCCTGAATGGCCACTGAACAACCTTTCAGAAGGCAGCAGTTGCCCTGTCCTCTAGTTGACCAGAAGCCTTCAGCTGATACAATGTCTTAAGGTCCTTTCCCTGACAGTCTAAGCTTTCCACATTTCGACTCCAACCTACTTTTCCAATAGCTGATAAAATTCACTCCACTCTTTTGCTCTCTTCACACTGCTTGGAATAGGCATTTTACTTTCTGCCTTCTAAACTTTGCTCACTCAGCCTTGCCTCTCAAAATAAATATCCTCCCACCTCTTTCCCTTAAAATGTCCAACTCAAGTCTCTGAGTTGGCTCTGTGGTTTTTACTTTCCTCTAAAGTTTACCTACTGTATTTATTATTTGTGTTACTCATTCAGCAGAAGCATATGTTGCCCTGTGTAGTAATTGTAGTAATTAAAATTATCGTGTGTATGTGTGTGTGTGTGTGTGTGTGTGTGTGTGTGTGTATCTTGCCTCCTTGGTCAGATTTTAAAATTCCTAGAGGGCAAAATGAATTACAACCATCTTCTACATCTCTCAGATGTTTGAAATGAGTTTACATGTAAATCATTCTACAAACAATATAGTATTCAAAGAAAGCAAATTACTTTGATAGAGGCAACAGGGTATAATAAAAAGAACATGGGTTTTGAAATTAAGAATATATGAATTCCAATCCAATCAGCTGTGTGAATTCAGTCAAGTTCAAATTTTTTAATAATATGGGTTACTTTTGTCACCTTATAGCTTATTGTGATGTTCATAGCTTATTACAAGAGAATTTAGGCCAATCCCTGCCATCCATGTATACTGAAAAGCAA